>NC_000016.10:53047348-53350378 GCF_000001405.40 Homo sapiens | reverse complement strand
CGGAGTGTGAGCTGAAGCAGGGCAGGGCATTGCCTCACCTGGGAAGTGCAAGGGGTCGGGGAATTCCCTTTCCTAGCCAAGTGAAGCCATGACAGATCATACCTGGAAAATCGGGACACTCCCACCCTAATACTGTGCTTTTCCAATGGTCTTAGCAAACAGCACACCAGGAGATTATATCCCGTGCCTGGCTCAGAGGGTCCCATGCCCACGGAGCCTCGCTCACTGCTAGCACAGCAGTCTGAGATGGAACTGCAAGGCAGCAGCAAGGCTGGGGGAGGGGCATCTGCCATTGCTGAGGCTTGAGTAGGTAAACAAAGGGGCTGGGAAGCTCGAACTGGGTGGAGCCCACAGCAGCTCAAGGAGGCCTGACTGCCTCTGCAGACTCCACCTCTGGGGGCAGAGCATAGTGGAATAGAAGGCAGCAGAAACTTCTGCAGACTTAAACGTCCCTGTCTGACAGCTTTGAAAAGAGTAGTAGTTTTCTCAGCACAGAGTTTGAGATCTGAGAACGGACAGACTGCCTCCTCAAGTTGGTCCCTGACGCCCGAGTAGCCTAACTGGGAGACACCTACCAGTAAGGGCCGACTGACACCTCATACAGCTGGGTGCCCCTCTGAGACGAAGCTTCCAGAGGAAGGATCAGGCAGCAACATTTGCTGTTCTGCAGCCTCCGCTGGTGATACCCAGGCAAACAGGGTCTGAAGTGGACCTCCAGCAAACTCCAACAGACCTGCAGCTGAGGGCCTGACTGTTAGAAGGAAAACTAACAAACAGAAAGGACATCCACACCAAAACCCCATCTGTACATCACCATCATGAAAGACCAAAGGTAGATAAAACCACAAAGATGGGGAGAAACCAGAGCAGAAAAGCTGAAAATTCTAAAAATCAGAGTGCCTCTTTTCCTCCAAACGAATGCAGCTCCTCACCAGAAATGGAACAAAGCTGGACAGAGAATGACTTTGACGAGTTGAGAGAAGAAGCCTTCAGACGATTGGTAATAACGAACTTCTCCAAGCTAAAGGAGGATGTTCGAACCCATTGCAAAGAACCTAAAAACCTTGAAAAAAGATTAGATGAATGGCTAACTAGAATAAACAGTGTAGAGAAGACCTTAAATGACCTGATGGAGCAGAAAACCATGGCACGAGAATTATGTGACACATGTACAAGCTTCAAGTGGAAGAAAGGGTATCAGTGATTGAAGATCAAATGAATGAAATGAAGTGAGAAGAGAAGTTTAGAGAAAAAAGAGTAAAAAGAAACAAAGCCTCTAAGAAATATGGGACTATGTGGAAAGACAAAATCTACGTCTGATTGGTGTACCTGAAAGTGAAGGGGGGAATGGAACCAAGTTGGAAAACACTCTTCAGGATATTATCCAGGAGAACTTCCCCAACCTAGCAAGGCAGGCCAACATTCAAATTCAGGAAATACAGAGGATGCCGTAAAGATACTCCTCGAGAAGAGCAACTCCAAGACACATAATTGTCAGATTCACCAAAGTTGAAATGAAGGAAAAAATGTTAAGGGCAGCCAGAGAGAAAGGTCGGCTTACCCACAAAAAGAAGCCCATCAGACTAACAGTGGATCTCTCAGCAGAAACTCTACAAGCCAGAATAGAATGGGGGCCAATATTCAACATTCTTAAAGAAAAGAATTTTCAACCCAGAATTGCATATCCAGCCAAACTAAGCTTCGTAAGTGAAGGAGAAATAAAATCCTTCACAGACAAGCAAATGCTGAGAGATTTTGTCACCACCAGGCCTGCCTTACAAGAGCTGCTGAAGGACGCACTAAACATGGAAAGGAACAACTGGCACCAGCCACTGCAAAACCATGCCAAATTGTAAAGCCCATCGATGCTAGGAAGAAACTTCATCAATTAAAGATCAAAATAACCAGCTAACATCATAAAGACAGTATCAAATTCACACATAACAATATTAACCTTAAATGTAAATGGGCTAAATGCTGTAATTAAAAGACACAGACTGGCAAATTGGATAAAGAGTCAAGACCCATCAGTGTGCTGTATTCAGGAGACCCATCTCACGTGCAGAGACACACATAGGCTCAAAATAAAGGGATGGAGGAAGATCTACCAAGCAAATGGAAAACAAAAAAAGGCAGAGGTTGCAATCCTAGTCTCTGATAAAACAGACTTTAAACCAACAAAGATCAAAAGAGACAAAGAAGGCCATTACATAATGGTAAAGGGATCAATTCAACAAGAAGGGCTGACTATCCTAAATATATATATGCACCCAATACAGGAGCACCCAGATTCATAAAGCAAGTCCTTAGAGACCTACAAAGAGACTTAGACTCCCACACAATAATAATGGGAGACTTTAACATCCCACTGTCCACATTAGACAGATCAACTAGAAGAAAGTTGACAAGGATATCCAGGAACTGAACAAAGCTCTGCACCAAGCAGACTTAATAGACATCTACAGAACTCCCCACCCCAAATCAACAGAATATACATTCTTCTCAGCACCACATCACACTTATTGCAAAACTGACCACATAGTTGGAAGTAAAACACTCCTCAGCAAATGTAAAATAACAGAAATTATAACAAACTGTCTCTCAGACAACAGTGCAATCAAACTAGAACTCAGGATTAAGAAACTCACTGAAAACCACTCAACTACATGGAAAGTGAACAACATGCTCCTGAATGACTACTGGATACATAATGAAATGAAGGCAGAAATAAAGATGTTCTTTGAAACCAGTGAGAACAAAGACACAACATACCAGAATCTCTGGGACACATTTAAAGCAGTGTGTAGAGGGAAATCTATAGCACTAAATGTCCACAAGAGAAAGCAGGAAGGATCTAAAATTGACACCCTAACATCACAATTAAAAGAACTAGAGAAGCAAGAGCAAACACATTCAAAACTAGCAGAAGGCAAGAAATAACTAAGATCAGAGCAGAACTGAAGGAGATAGAGACACAAAAAAACCTTCAAAAAATCCATGAATCCAGGAGCTGGTTTTTTGAAAAGAACAACAAAATTGATAGACCACTAGCAAGACTAATAAAGAAGAAAAGAGAGAAGAATCAAATAGATGCAACAAAAAATGATAAAGGGGATATCACAACCAATCCTATAGAAATACAAACTACCATCAGAGAATACTATAAACACCTCTATGCAAATAAACTAGAAAATCTAGAAGAAATGGATAAATTCCTCGATACATACACCCTCCCAAGACTAAACCAGGAAGAAGTTGAATCCCTGAATAAACCAATAACAGGTTCCGAAATTGAGGCAATAATTAATAGCCTACCAACCAAAAAAAGTCCAGGACCAGATGGATTCACAGACAAATTCTACCAAAGGTACAAAGAGGAGCTGGCACCATTCCTTCTGAAACTATTCCAATCAATAGAAAAAGAGGGAATCCTCCCTAACTCATTTTATGAGGCCAGCATCATTCTGATACCAAAGCCTGGCAGAGACACAACAAAAAAAGAGAGTTTTAGACCAATATACCTGATGAACATCGATGCAAAAATCATCAGTAAAATACTGGAAAACTGAATCCAGCAGCACATCAAAAAGCTTATCCACTATGACCAAGTTGGCTTCATCCCTGGGATGCAAGGCTGGTTCAACATATGCAAATCAATAAAGATAATCCATCATATAAACAGAACCAATGACAAAAACCACATGATTATCTCAATAGATGCAGAAAAGGCCTTCAACAAAATTCAACAGCACTTCATGCTAAAAACTCTCAGTAAACTAGGTATTGATGGGATGTATCTCAAAATAATAAGAGCTATTTATGACAAACTCACAGCCAATATCATACTGAATGGGCAAAAACTGGAAGCATTCCCTTTGAATACTGGCACAAGACAGGGATGCCCTCTCTCACCACTCCTATTCAACATAGTGTTGGAAGTTCTGGCCAGGGCAATCAGGCAGGAGAAACAAATAAAGGGTATTCAATTAGGAAAAGAGGAAGTCAAATTGTCCCTGTTTGCAGATGACATGATTGTATGTTTAGAAAACCCCATCTTCTCAGCCCAAAATCTCCTAGCTGATAAGCAACTTCAGCAAAGTCTCAGGATACAAAATCAATATGCAAAAATCACAAGCATTCCTATACACCAATAACAGACAAACAGAGAGCCAAATCATGAGTGAACTACCATCCACAATTGCTTCAAAGAGAATAAAATACCTAGGAATCCAACTTACAAGGGATGTGAAGGACCTCTTCAAGGAGAACTACAAACCACTGCTCAATGAAATAAATGAGGATACAAACAAATGGAAGAACATTCCATGTTCAGGGACAGGAAGAGTCAATATTGTGAAAATGGCCATACTGCCCAAGGTAATTTATAGATTCAATGCCATCCCCATCAAGCTACCAATGACTTTCTTCACAGAATTGGAAAAAACTACTTTAAAGTTCACATGGAACCAAAAAAGAGCCTGCATTACCAAGACAATCCTAAGCCAAAAGAACAAAGCTGGAGGCATCATGCTACCTGACTTCAAACTATACTACAAGGCTACAGTAACCAAAACAGCATGGTACTGGAACCAAAACAGAGATATAGACCAGTGGAACAGAACAGAGCCCTCAGAAATAATACCACACATCTACAACCATCTGATCTTTGACAAACCTGACAAAAACAAGAAATGGGGAAAGGATTCCCTATTTAATAAATGGTGTTGGGAAAACTGGCTAGCCATATGTAGAAAGCTGAAACTGGATCCCTTCCTTACACCTTATACAAAAATTAATTCAAGATGGATTAAAGACTTACATGTTAGACCTAAAACCATAAAAACCCTAGAAGAAAACTTAGGCAATACCATTCAGGACATAGGCATGGGCAAGGACTTCATGACTAAAACACCAAAAGCAATGGCAACAAAAACCAAAATTGACAAATGGGATCTAATTAAACTAAAGCGCTTCTGCACAGCAAAAGAAACTACCATCAGAGTGAACAGACAACCTACAGAATGGGAGAAAATTTTTGCAATCTACTCATCTGACAAAGGGCTAATATACAGAATCCACAAAGAACTCAAAGAAATTTACAAGAAATAAACAAACAACCCCATCAAAAAGTGGGCAAAGGATATGAACAGACACTTCTCAAAAGAAGACATTTATGAAGCTAAAAGACATGAAAAATGCTCATCATCCTGGCCATCAGAGAAACGCAAATCAAAACCACAATGAGATACCATCTCACACCAGTTAGAATGGTGATCATTAAAAAGTCAGGAAGCAACAGGTGCTGGAGAGGATGTGGAGAAATAGGAACACTTTTATACTGTTGGTGGGACTGTAAAATAGTTCGACCATTGTGGAAGACAGTGTTGTGATTCCTCAAGGATCTAGAACTAGAAATACCATTTGACCCAGCCATCCCATTACTGGGTATATACCCAAAGGATTATAAATCATGCTGCTACAAAGACACATGCACACATATGTTTATTGTGACACTATTCACAATAGCAAAGACTTGGAAGCAACCCAAATGTCCATCAATGATTAACTGGATTAAGAAAATGTGGCACATATACACCATGGAATACTATGCAGCCATAAAAAGGGATGAGTTCATGTCCTTTGTAGGGACATGGATGAAGCTGGAAACCATCACTCTGAGCAGACTATCGAAAGGAGAGAAAACCAAACACTGCATGTTCTCACTCATAGGTGGGAATTGAACAATGACAACACTTGGACACAGGGTGGAGAACATCACACATTGGGGCCTGTCATGGGGTGGGGGTAGGGGGGAGGTATACCATTAGGAGATATACCTAATGTAAATGACAAGTTAACAGGTGCAGCACACCAACATGGCACATGTATACATACGTAACAAACTTGCATGTTGTGCACAGGTACCCTAGAACTTAAAGTATAATAAAAATAAATAAATAAATAAATAAATAAATAAATAAATAAATAAAAAGACAGGAGTAGGCTGGGTGTAGTGGCTCATGCCTGTAATCCCAGCACTTTGGGAGGCCGAGGCGGGTGGATCACAAGGTCAGGAGATCGTGACTGTCCTGGCTAACATGGTGAAACTCTGTTTTTACTAAAAATACAAAAATTAGCTGGCTATAGTGGCACACACCGGTCATCCCAGCTACTTGGGAGGCTGAGGCAAGAGAATCATTTGAACCCGCGAGGCGGAAGTTGCGGTGAGCCGAGATCATGCCACTGCACTCCAGCCTGGGTGACAGAGCAAGACTCTGTCTCAAAAAAAAAAAAAAAAAAAGACAGGAGAAACAACATTTGTCTTGCTCCATTTTTGTGTTGTTATAAAGGAATACCTCAGGCTGAGTAATTTATAAAGGCAAGAGGTTTATTTGGCTCACAGATCTGCAGGCTGTACAAGAAGCACGGTTCCAGCATCTGCTTCTGGTGAGGGCTTCAGGGAGCTTCCACTCATGATGGAAAGCAAGTGGGAACTGTTCTATGCAAAGATCACATGGTTAGAGAGAGGAAGTAAGAGGCAAGGTGGCTGGGGACAGGATAGGGGGGTGCCAGGCTCTTTTTAACAATCAGCTTTTGGCTGGGCACCTTGACTTGCACCTGTAATCCCAACACTTTGGGAGGCCGAGATGGGAGGATTGCTTTGAGACCAGCCTGGATAAAATAGCAAGACTCCCATCTCTACAAAAATTAAAAAGATAAGCTGGTGTGGTGGTGCGTGTCTATGGTGTAAGCTACTTGGGAGGCTGAGGTGGGAGGATTGCTTGAGCCTGGGAGGTCAGGGCTGCAGTGAGCTCTGTTCGTGCCACTGCACTCCAGCCTGGGCGAAAGAGTGAGACCGTGTCTCAGTAAATAAAAAGCAGGTCAAGGATGGTGCCTCATGCCTGTAATCCCAGCACTTTGGGAGGCCAAGGCGGGCAGATCACCTGATGTCAGGAGTTCAAGACCAACCTGGCCAACATGGTGTAACACCCGTCTCTGCTAAAACACAAAAATTAGCTGGGCGTGGTGGTGGGCATCTGCAATCCCAGCTTCTTGGGAGGTTGAGGCAGGAGAATCACTTGAACCTGGGAGGTGGTGGAGGTTGCAGCGAGCCAGGATCGTGCCACTACACTCCAGCCTGGGCAACAGAGCAATACTCCATCTCAAAACACACACACACACACACACACACACACACACACACACACACACACACAAGCAACAACAACAACAACAGAAACAACACATCAGGTCTTTTGGGAGCTAAGGGAAAGAATGCACTCATTATTGGGCACCAGGCCATTCATGAGGGATCCACCTCTGTGACCCAGACACCTCCTAATAGGCCCCACCTCAAACACTGGGGAGCAAATTTCAACCTAAAGGGTCAAATATGCAAACCATAGCAAGCATGTTTGGTGTTGAGGGTAATGACCCAGACCCTTCCTGATCCTGGTCCTGTCTGCTTCCTGTCCTCTTTGAGTAGAGGAAGTGACTTTTCTCTCCTGGATCCCTTCCTCTCCCGCCATCTGAGGAATCTCCTGCAGTTTATGATCCTTATGCAATGTAAAGTGTTGAGCAGCACCGCTGGTATTGTAACCGCCCAGTGGGTTCACCTTGCCCGCTGCCTAGACAGAGCCGATTTATCAAGACAGGGGAATTACAATGGTGAAAGACTAATTCACACAGAGCCAGCTGTGTGGGAGACCAGAGTTTTATTACTCAAATCAGTCTCCCTGAGCATTCGGGGATCAGAGTTTTTAAAGATAATTTGGCAGGTAGAATCTTGGGAAGTGGGGAGTGCTGATTGGTCAGGCTGGAGATGGAATCACAGGGGGTCGAAGTGAGTTTTTCTTGCTGTCTTTGTTCCTGGGTGCAATGGCAGAACTGGTTGAGCCAGACTGCCGGTCTGGGTGGTGTCAGCTGATCCATGGAGTGCAGGGTCTGCAAAGTATCTCAAGCACTGATCTTAGGGTTCACAGTAGTGATGTCATCCCCAGGAGCAATTTGGGGAGGTTCAGATTCTTGGAGCCAGAGGCTGCAGACCCCTAAACTGTAATTTCAAATCTTGTAGCTAATTTGTTAGTCCTGCAAAGGCAGACTGGTCCCCAGGCAAGAAGGGGGTCTTTTTGGGAATGTGCTGTTATCAATTTTGTTTCAGAGTTAAACTATGAACTGAATTCCTCCCCAAAGTTAGTTCAGCCGACATCCAGGAATGAACAAGGACAGTTTAAGGGTTAGAAGCAAGATGGAGTCGGTTAGGTCTGATTTCTTTCACTGCCATAATTTCCTCAGTTATAATTTTGCAAAGGCAGTTTTAGTATCTACCCACTAGCTGCCAGGGGAAACCACCCCACCCACGCAAAAGCTGTAACATGACAAATGTCTCCAGACATCACCAAATGTCTCCTGGGCAGGAAAATTGTCCCCCATTAAGAACCACTGTGATAGGGTAATTAGAGTAGGCTGTTTGTTGGAATCTATGATGAGCATCTTTTTTTTTTTCCCCACAATGTCTCACACTGTCGCCTGGGCTGGAGAGCAGTGGCTCGATCTCAGCTCACTGCAACCTCCGCCTCCCAGGTTCAAGCAATTCTCCTGCCTCAGCCTCCCAAGTAGCTGCGATAACAGGCACCCACCACCACCCCAGGTAATTTTTGTATTTTTAGTAGAGATGGGGTTTCACCATGTTGGCCAGGCTGGTCTAGAATACCTGACCTCAAGTGATCCGCCCACCTCAGCCTCCCAAAGTGCTGGGATTACAGGCATGAGCCACTGTACCTGGCTGAGCATCTCTTTTAAAATATTTTCTCAGGAGAAAAGTAATCGGATTCCCCCTGCTGGAAAACGGGTGTCTTGATGCCAGAATTCTGGGATCCAAGTCAGGAAAAATATTACGATATCAGATATCTGCATTAAGTTTTTAGTGTCAGTCCCTTCCTTCTTTTGTTTTTACCCACATCCTTGCCTGTGCCAGGAGTCCCTCAGGCTAGAAACACCTTCCCAAATAATAAACATCTAGAGTTGAAACCACTGCCACTTTGAGGGAGGAACACAGTGGAATCAGTGGGTTCTGAAATTTTAACTTTCTGAAAAACCACCCTCTTATGCTTAGTGGTAGATGAATTCTGTGCTGCCAGTTCCTAGACCTTTTCAGTGTACTGCAATGCTGACTTGGGGCTTAACTTCCTTCTTTTTTCTTTTTGAAACAGTGTCTCACTCTGTCGCCCAGGCAGTGGCAGGATCTCAGGATCCCGCTCACTGCAACCTCTGCCTCCTGGACACAAGCAAAACTTCCAGCTCAGCCTCCCAAGTAGCTGGGACTACACGTGTGCACCACCACGCTTGGCTAATTCTTAAAAAAATTTTATTGTAGAGATGAGGTCTCACTCTATTGCCTAGTCTGGTCTTGAACTCCTGGGTTCAATAGCTCCTCCCAACTCAGCCTCCCAAAGTGCTGAGATTACAAGCATGAGCTGGGACTTAACTTTTCAAAAGTCTTTCATCAGTTATCGCTGGTCTATTTTCTGTTCAGTTTCTGACATTCTTTTTCTTTTTTTGAGACACATGGTCTCACTCTGTTGCCCAGGCTGGAGTGTGTAGTGTGGCATAACCACAGCTCACTGTAGCCTCAACCTCCCAAGGCTCAGGTGATCCTCCTGCCTCAGCTCTCCAAGTAGCTTGGGACAACAGGTGTGCGCCACCACACCCAGCTAATTTTTGTATTTTTTTTGCAGAGACAGGGTTTCACTATGTTGCCCAGGATGGTCTGGAATTCCTGGGCTCAAGTGACCCACCCACCTTGGCTTCCCAAAGTGCTGGGATTATAGGTGTGAGCTACCATGCCTGGCCTCAGTTTCTGACATTCTGTAATTTTCTTTCTCTTGTTCTCCTTGTACATATGGTTTGCTTTTAAAAAAAATTCCCTTTACAGCAATTTAGTGTAATTTGTGAGGATGCAAAATTATATGCATATGAACAATCCACCACCTTAATCCAGAAAATAGAAATACAGAACTAGCAGGACTTGTTGATGGCTTGGATATGGAGGAGTGAGAGAGGCCCAAGGGTGATGAAGATGTTAGGTCTGAGCAACTGAAATATGGAGGGCAGTAATCAAGAGGCTAGTTCTGAGCCTGTGAAATTTGAGATATCTTTTGGACATCTTAATGGAGATGTCAGGTAATAGATTAAATATACTAGTCTGGAGTTGAAATGGAGGTCTGGGATGAGACATACCTTTTGGAGTGTCCTTGTATAGATGGATTTAGTACCAAAGACTGGATGAGATCACCTTGGGAGTGAGTGCACAGAGGAAGAAAGGAGGGTCCAGAACTCTTGCTTTTCCTCTTAATCCCAGGGATTGCTCTTAGTGGCAGAAGCTGCTACTGTCTAAGACTCACTGGGTAGCAAAACGGGTACACAGAGGGGACAGAGGTGTCTTTACCTCAGTAGGTGCTCCATGGACACCAGGAGTGTGATGGAGTTATGATGTTGCAAAGTGTGAGTTTTTATTAAGACTAGAGTTTAAATTATTATTTTTTTAAGACAGAATCTTGCTCTGCCAGGCTGGAGTTTAGTGGTGCAATCTCAGCTCACTGCAACCTTCATTTCCTGGGTTCAAGCAATTCTTGTGCCACAGCCTCCCGAGTAGCTGGCATTACAGGTGCATGCCACCTCATTTTTGTATTTTTTTTTTTAATAGAGACAAGGTTTCACCATGTTGGCCAGGTTGGTCTTGAACTCCTGACCTCAAGTGATCCATCTGCCTCGGCCTCCCAAAGTGCTGGGATTGCAGGTGTGAGCCACCATGGCTGGTCAAGTTTAACATTTTTTACCTTGAGTTCATAGGTTTTAGTTTTGTTAGCTTATTAAAACCTTTAGAGATATAGTCCATGTACCATACAATTCACTCGTTTAAAGTGTACAATTCAAGGCCAAGTGCATTGGCTCATGCCTGTAATCTCAACACTTTGGGAGGCTGAGGTAGAAGGATTGCTTGAGCCCAGGAGTTCAAGGTTACAGTGAGTGACAGCACAACTGCACTCCAGCCTGGGTGACAGAACGAGTCCCTGTCTCTAAAAGAAAAAAAAAAGGAAACCTGTAACCATTAGCAGTTACATGTGAATGTCCCCAGTCTTAGACAACCACTAATCTCCTTTCTATCTTTATAGATTCACCTATTACAGACAGTTTATATAAATGGAATCATATGTGATCTTTTGTGACTGACCTTGAAACAGAACCCCAAGTTCAGGCTTGTGTGCCTGGCGTGAAGTTGATGCCAAACACTGACACACAGGTGGTTGGAGAGAGAGAAAGGTTTTTTTTGATTTGACTAAAACCAGAAGGTGGGAAAAGCAAAATCTCTCAATTCTGTCTATCAAGAATGAAAAGCAAATAGTTTTATGTGGCTAGAGAGTAAGGTAGGGGGAGTTTCAAGGAACCGAGGGGGAAAAGTCTGCGTTTCTTCAGTCTCGGATAACATCTTGAATAAGCAGATTGCTGGGTTACAGCAGTTGGTTACAATGTCCTTAAAGGACATTCATTCCTTCTGCAAAATAAAATAAAATAAAAGTTTCAAGTTTAATTTTAGATTCAGGGGTTACATGTGCAGGTTTGTTACATGAGTATATTGCATGATACTGAGGTTTAGGGTATGAATGATCCTGTCATCCAGGTACCGAGCATAGTACTCAATAGTTTTTCAACTCCTGTCTCCTTTCCTCCCTCCCCTGGTAGAAGTCCCCAGAGTCTATTGTTGCCATCTTTATGTTCAAGAGTGCCCAATGTTTAGCTCCCACTTATAATTGAGAACATGCAGTATTTAGTTTTCTCTTTCTGCATTGATTCACTTACCATAATGGCCTCCACCTGCATCCATGTTGCAGTAAAGGACATGATTTTGTTCTTTCTTCTGCAAAGTTTTTTCTTTTTTCTTTTCTTTTTTTCTGGGGAGGACGGAGTCTAGCTCTGTCACCCAAGCTGGGGTGCAATGGTGCGATCTCAGCTCACTGCAACCAGGTTCAGGTGATTCCCCTGCCTCAGCCTCCTGAGTAGCTGGGATTACAGGCACCCACCACCACACCTGGCTAATTTATGTATTTTTAGTAGAGACAGAGTTTCGCCATGTTGGCCAGGCTGGTCTCAAACTCCTGACCTCAGGTGATCTGCCTGCCTCAGTCTCCCAAAGTACTGGGATTACAGGCGTGAGCCACCGCACCTGCCCCTTTCTTCTGAAAATTTTTTTCATGACCCTGAAGTTATCTTCTGCTTGACAAAGAAACAGCACATCAGCAGTTTATATTATAATTATATCATGGGAACAAAGGATGCTGGCTTTTGTGTAAGGAAGCAAGGGCCTATGAGAATTTTCATTATTTCAGTCACTAAAAATGTTGGGGTGCTGAAATTTCAAGGGGCTCTGTTACAACTTTTTTCACTTAGAATAATGTTTTCAAGATTTATCTCTGTTGCAACATATGTCAGTCCCTCCTTCCTTTTTATGGTTAAATATTCCATTGTATGGATAGACCACACATCTCATTTATTCATCTGTTGATGGACATTTGGGTTGTTTCTACTTTTGGGCTATTCTGAATAATACCGCTATAAATATTTGTCTGTAAGTTTTCAGGTGAACATGGTTTCATTTCTTTCAGTACATACTAGGAATAGAATTGCTGAGCCATAGGTAACAACATCATGGTTAATAGTTTGAGGAATTGCAAAACTGTTTTCCAAAGGGAAAACAGTTCCCTTTGTTTCTTTTGTTTCTTTTTTTCTTTTTCTTTTTTTTTTCCTTTAAGTCTACAGCACCCAGTATTTCCAGGCAGTCTTCCATGCAAGTACTAACCAGGCCCCACCCTGCCCAGCTTCTGAGATCAGATGAGATCTGGCATGTTCAGGGTGGTGTAGCCATAGACTGGGGCCATGCCTTTGTACATTCCCTCCTGCAATGTGTGAGAATTGTAATTTGTCCACTTTCTCACTAATACTTTTAGTGTCTCTTTAATTCTGGCCATCCTGAGGGGTGTGAAGTGGTATCTCATTTTAGTTTTGATTTGCATTCACATAATGGCCAATAACGTTGAGGACCTTTTCATGTGTGTATTGGCTATTTGTATATCTTTGGAGAAATGTCTGCTCAAATCCATTGCTCCTTTTAAAATTGAGTTTTTATCTTTATTTTTGAGTTGTAAGAGATCTTTATATGTTCTGGATACAAGTTACTTATCAGATACATGATTTACAAATATTTTCTCCAGTTCTGTGGGTTGTTTGTTCTCTTTCTTTTTACTTACTATTATTTTTGTAGATTTGGAGTCTCTCTCTGTTGCCCAGGCTGGTCTTGAACTTCTGGGCTCAAGCAAATTTTCCTGCCTTGGCCTCCTAAAGTACTGGGATTACAGGAATGTGCCACCACGCTCAGCCTTCTCTTTCTTGAAGGTGTCCTTTGAAGCACTAAATATATTAATTTTGATGTTTATTTTTTCTTTTATTACTTGTGCTTTTAATGTCAAGTCTAAGAAGCTTTTGCATAATTCAAGGTCACAAAGATTATTCTATGCTTTCTTCTAAGAGTATTTATTTATTTATTTATTTATTGTCTTGAGACGGAGTCTCACTCTGTCACCCACGCTGGAGTGCAGTGGCGTGATCTCGGCTCATTGCAAGCTCTACCTCCCGGGTTCACGCCATTCTCCTGCCTCAGCCTCCCGAGTAGCTGGGACTACAGGTGCCTGCCACCACGCCTGGCTAATTTTTTGTATTTTTAGTAGAGACGGGGTTTCACCGTGTTAGCCAGGATGGTCTCGATCTCCTGGCCTCGTGATCCGCCTGCCTCGGCCTCCCAAAGTGCTGGGATTACAGGCATGAGCCACCGTGCTCAGCCTCTTCTAAGAGTTTTATAATTTCATCTCTTACGTTTAGGACTATGATCGATTCTGAGTGCAACTTCATTTTTTTGTGTATGGATATTCAGTTGTTCCAAATATCCTTTCCCCCATTGAATTGTCTTGGCACTCTTTTCAAAGATTAACTGCTCATTCAAACGGTACAAAGTTTCTGTTACACAGGATGAATAAGTTGTCGAGATCAAATGTACAACATAATAACTACAGTTAGTAATACTATATTGAATATTTGAAATTTGTTGAGAGTAAATCTTAAGTGTTAACACACACACACACACGGTAACTATGTTAGATGATGGATATGTTAGCTTGCTTGATTGTGGCAATTATTTCACAGCACATATCAAAACAACATGATCAGCTGGATGTGGTGGTTCATGCCTGTAATCCCAGAGCTTTGGAAGGCTGAGGGAGAGGATTGCTTGAGGCCAGGAGTACAGGACCAGCCTGGGCAACACGGCAAGAACCAAGACCTCATCTCTACTATATATATATATATATATATATATATATACATAAATTAGCCAGGCATGGTGTTGCACGTCTGTAGTCCTAGCTACTTCAGAGGCTGAAGGAGAATTGCTTGAGCCCAGGAATTTGAGTCTGCAGGAATTTGCATTACTGCACTCCAGTCTGGGTGAGAGTGAGTCTCTGTCTCAAAAAAAAAAAAAAAAAAAAAAAAAAAAGAAAAAGCAAAAAAGACACGACATCCACTTTTAAATATATACAATTTTTATTTGTCAATTGTACCTCAGTAAGGCTGGAAGAAAAATCAACCAACCATAAATGTTAAGGGTTTATTTCTAAACTCTTATTTCTGTTCCATTAATCCATTTGTTTATATCAATTCCTACACAATACTGTCTTGATTATTATGTCTTTGTAGTAAGTTTTGAAATCAGGAAGTGTGACTACTCCAACTTTGTTCTTTTAAAAAATTTGTTTTGTCTATTTCTGAGTCCCTTGTATTTCTATATGAACTTTAGGATAAAATGGTCAATTTCTGCAAAGAAGCCACCTGGGAATACAATGGATTTTTGTATATTGCTGTCATATTCTGCAACCTTGCTAAGCTTGTTTATTCATTTTCTAATAATAATATTTTGTTTTTTTAGTACATTCCTTAAGATTTTCTATATACAAGATCATATCATCTGAAACAGAGATATTTTTACTTCCTTTTCCCATCTGCATGTCTTTTTTTCTTTTCCTTGCCTTATTGCCCTGGGCAGAACTTCCAAAATAATGTTGAATAAAGGCTAGCAGGAGTGAATATCTTTGTCTTGTTCTTGACTTAGGAGAAAATAGTCTTTCACCAGTAAGAATGGTAGTAGTTGTGGGTTTTACATAGATGTCTTTTATCAGGTTGAGGAAATTGTCTTCTATCCCTAGTTGTTGAATTTTTTTTTCTATTTTTTAATCATGAAAGGGTACTGGATTTTGTGAAATTATTTTTCTGCATCTGTTGAGGTAAGTAATATCACATTGATTAATTCTCATACATCGATCAACCTTGCATTTCTTGAATAAATCCAGCTTGGTCGTGATGTATAGTCCTTTTCATATGCTGATGGATTCAGTTTGCCAGCATTTTTTTTGAGCCTATACTCAAGGGATGTTGGACAGCAGTTGTTTTGCAATGATTTTGTCTACTTTTGGTATCAGGGTAATATTGACCTCATAAAACAAGTTGGGGAGCACTTCCTGTTTCTTTTTTTAGAGGGGTTTGTGAATAGGTGCTAACTTTTTCTCCAGTGAAGCCACAGATTTTCTTTATGGGAAGCTGCTTTTTTTTTCATATCAGATGGGTAATGTGCCCACGTGGTAACAAGGTTCAAGGGGTCACATCTCACATATGTGTGTGAACACCCAATCATCACGCTCATGAACTACAAAAGGATTAAGGGAAGTTTGCTTATAATTAGTAATTAAATCTCTTTACTTATTGTAATTCTATTTAGACTTTGTATTTCTTTTTGACTTAGTTTCAGTAGCGTCTTTCTAGGAATTTGTTCATTTCATCTAGGTTATTTAACCTGTTGGATTCACTTGTTCATAATATTTCCTTATGATCCTTTATGTTCCTGTAAGGTCAGTAGGAATGTCTCTTCTTTCATTTTTGATTCAAGTAATTTGAGTCTTTTCTTTTTGTTGATCAGTCTAAAGTTTTGTCAATTTGTTGATTACCTTAGTCCATTTTCTGTTACTACACAAAATACCACAGAATGGGTAATTTATAAGAAAAGAAATTTATGTCTTATAGGTGTGGAGGCTGGGAAGTTTAAGAGCATTACACTGGCATCTGATGAGGGTCTTCTTGTTGCTTCATAACATGGCAAGAGATTACTTTCCAAAGGCCTCACCTCCAATCGACATATGAATTTGAGGACCACAGTCAAACCATAGCATTGATTTTTAAAAAAATGATCAACTTTTGGTTTCATTTTCTCTATTGTTTTTCCATTCTCTATTTAATTACTGTTCAAATCTTTATTGTTTCCTTACTTTGGCTTGTTTTGTGTTTAGATTGATCTTCTTTTTCTAGTTTCTTAAGGTGGAAAGTCAGGTTGATTTGAGACTTTTTTCCTTAGCATAGATTTCCCACTGTGCACTGCTTTGGCTACATCTCATGTTTTGCAATGTTGTTTTAATTCTTCTCAAGATGTTTTCTAATTTCCACTGAGAGTTCTTCTTTGACCCATTTGTTATTCGAGTATATTGTTTAATTTCCACATAATTGTGAATTTCTAAGCTTCACTATTGAATTCTAATTTTATTCTACCATGCTTGGAAAACATACTTTGTATGATTCAACCTTTTACCTTTCAGACTTGTCTTACAGTCTTTCATATGGTCTATCCTAAAAAATGTTCCATGTATGCTTCAGAAAAATGTCTATTCCTTTATTAAGTGGAATGCTTAATAGATGTCTTTTAGGTTTAGATGGTTTACAGTGTTGTTCAAGTCTTGTTTTCTTGTTGACCCTGTGCCTAGTTGCTCTATCCATTATTGAAAGTTATATTATCCAGACCACTAGCAAGACTAATAAAGAAGAAAAGAGAGAAGAATAAAATAGACACAATAAAAAATGACAAAGGGGATATCACCACCGATCCTACAGAAATACAAACTATCATCAGAGAATACTATAAACACCTCTACACAAATAAACTAGAAAATCTGGAAAAAATGCATAAATTCCTCGACACATACACCCTCCCAAGACTAAACCAGGAAGAAGTTGAATCTCTGAATAGACCAATAATAGGCTCTGAAATTGAGGCAATAATTAATAGCTTACCAACCAAAAAAAAGTCCAGGACCAGATGGATTCACAGCCGAATTGTACCAGAGGTACAAGGAGGAGCTGGTACCATTCCTTCTGAAACTATTCCAATCAATAGAAAAAGAGGGAATCCTCCCTAACTCATTTTATGAGGCCAGCATCATTCTGATACCAAAGCCTGGCAGAAACACAATAAAAAAAGAGAATTTTAGACCAATATCCTTGATGGACATTGATGCAAAAATCCTCGATAAAATAATGGCAAACCGAATCCAGCAGCATATCAGAAAGCTTATCCATCATGATCAAGTGGGCTTCATCCCTGGGATGCAAGGCTGGTTCAACATACAAAAATCAATAAACATAATCCAGCATATAAACAGAAACAAAGACAAAAACCACATGATTATCTCAATAGATGCAGAAAAGGCCTTTGACAAAATTCAACAACACTTCATGCTAAAAACTCTCAATAAATTAGGTATTGATGGGACATATCTCAAAATAGTAAGAGCTATCTATGACAAACCCACAGCCAATATCATACTGAATGAACAAAAACTGGAAGCATTCCCTTTGAAAACTGGTACAAGACAGGGATGCCCTCTCTCACCACTCCTATTCAACATAGTGTTGGGAGTTCTGGCCAGGGCAATCAGGCAGGAGAAGGAAATAAAAGGCATTCAATTAGGAAAAGAGGAAGTCAAATTGTCCCTGTTTGCAGATGACATGATTGTATATCTAGAAAACCTCATCGTCTTAGCCCAAAATCTCCTTAAGCTGATAAGCAACTTCTGCAAAGTCTCAGGATACAACATCAATGTGCAAAAATCACAAGCATTCCTATAAACCAATAACAGACAAACAGAGAGCCAAATCATGAGTGAACTCCCATTCACAATTGCTTCAAAGAGAATAAAATACCTAGGAATCCAACTTACAAGGGATGTGAAGGACCTCTTCAAGGAGAACTACAAACCACTGCTCAATGAAATAAATGAGGATACAAACAAATGGAAGAACATTCCATGCTCATGGGTAGGAAGAATCAATATCGTGAAAATGGCCATACTGCCCAAGGTAATTTATAGATTCAATGCCACCCCCATCAAGCTACCAATGACTTTCTTCACAGAATTGGAAAAAACTACTTTAAAGTTCATATGGAACCAAAAAAGAGCCCGCATTGCCAAGTCAATCCTAAGCCAAAAGAAGAAAGCTGGAGGCATCACGCTACCTGACTTCAAACTATACTACAAGGCTACAGTAACCAAAACAGCATGGTACTGGTACCAAAACAGAGATATAGACCAATGGAACAGGACAGAGCCCTCGGAAATAGTGCCGCATATCTACAACTACCTGATCTTTGACAAACCTGTCAAAAACAAGCAATGGGGAAAGGATTCCCTATTTAATAAATGGTGCAGGGAAAACTGGCTAGCCATATGTAGAAAGCTGAAACTGGATCCCTTCCTTACACCTTATACAAAAATTAATTCAAGATGGATTAAAGACTTAAATGTTAGACCTAAAACCATAAAAACCCTAGAAGAAAACCTAGGCAATACCATTCAGGACATAGGCATGGGCAAGAACTTCATGTCTAAAACATCAAAAGCAATGGCAACAAAAGCCAAAATTGACAAATGGGATCTAACTAAACTAAAGAGCTTCTGCACAGCAAAAGAAACTACCATCAGAGTGAACAGGCAACCTACAGAATGGGAGAAAATTTTTGCAATCTACTCATCTGACAAAGGGCTAATATCCAGAATCCACAAAGAACTCAAAGAAATTTACAAGAAATAAACAAACAACCACATCAAAAAGTGGGCAAAGGATATGAACAGACACTTCTCGAAAGAAGACATTTATGCAGCTAAAAGACATGAAAAATGCTCATCATCCTGGCCATCAGAGAAATGCAAATCAAAACTACAGTGAGATACTATCTCACACCAGTTAGAATGGCGATCACTAAAAAGTCAAGAAACAACAGGTGCTGGAGAGGATGTGGGGAAATAGGAACACTTTTACACTGTTGGTGGGACTGTAAACTAGTACAACCATTGTGGAAGTCAGTGTGGCGATTCCTCAGGGATCTAGAACTAGAAATACCATTTGACCCAGCCATCCCATTACTGGGTATATACCCAAAGGATTATAAATCATGCTGCTATAAAGACACATGCACATGAATGTTTATTGCGGCACTATTCACAACAGCAAAGACTTGGAACCAACCCAAACGTCCAACAATGATAGACTGGATTAAGAAAATGTGGCACATATACACCATGGAATACTATGCAGCCATAAAAAATGAGGAGTTCATGTCCTTTGTAGGGACATGGATGAAGCTGGAAACCATCATTCTCAGCAAACTATCGCAAGGACAAAAAACCAAACACCACATGTTCTCACTCATAGGTGGGAATTGAACAATGAGAACACATGGACACCAGGGGAGGGGGGGAGGGATAGCATTAGAAGATATACCTAATGCTAAATGACAAGTTAATGGGTGCAGCACACCAACACGGCACATGTATACATATGTAACAAACCTGCACATTGTGCACACGTACCCTAAAACTTAAAGTATAATAATAAAATAAAAAAGTTATATTATCCATTATATAAAGGATATATTGAAGTCTCCAACTATTCTTGTTTTATTGTATACTTCTTCTTTCAACTGTGTTAGTTTTTGCTTCATGAATTGTGCAGCTTTGTTGTTAAGTGCATATATGTTTATAATTGTGATTTTTCCCAGTAGATTGGCCTTTTTTATCATTATAAAATGTTTATTTCTAGCAATTTTCTTTTGTTTTAAAGTCTATTTATCTGGTATTAGTAAAGTCACTCCAGTTTTCTTGTCTACTGTTTGCATAATATGCAAAACAGGAAAAAAACGCCTGTGATATATAATGCATATATATGATACACATGAGCTGAATACTTCGTAATGTATATTTAGATTATTTAATTATAAATGCAGGCATCCTGCATATCCTGTTCGCTTTGCTGTTGAGGTATAAAATAGAACAATCTTACTGGTTCCAAGACTCAAACACAACTATTTCATGCCTAAATATTTAATGAAAGAATCATAAATGTATGCAAATATTTAACTAGAAACACCTTATTGTTTAGTAGCCCCAAACTGAAATATTATATATCTAAATGTTCAATAATTGGGTATTAAATTATAATACATCTATATATTGGAATATCAGAAAGCCCTTAATAATGTTGTGGAAGATTCTTTAATGACATGGAAAGATAGTCATGATATAGTCAATGAAAAAAGTAGGTTACAAATGGTATGTACAGTATAACTCCGTTGTTATTCAAATATATATTATGTATATGCAAAGAAAAATTACCCAAAGGTTAACGATTATCTCTGAATTCAGCATTATGGGGGTTTTACTTTGTGCTTCCCCTGTCCCTTTGGATTTTCTATAATATGGATGTCTTTTTTTTTTTAACTAGGAAAAAAGAACAATAAGTTAATTTTAAAGATCAAAATATAATTTATGCCTATTAATTTGGCAAAGATTATTTAAAAAGACAATACACAGCATTGGCAAAGATTTGGGAATAAATGGGCATGCGCAAAACGTATGCTGCTAATGTTAGTATAAATAGCTACTAGGAGCTTCGTTATAAACGTGGAAACATAAACTGAAGTCCTTAAAAACAGAGGAAGTATTTTCAGTTCTAGGAATTAAGCAAATTATTTAGGGATGGATGCAAAAATGTCTACATAAACCCAAATATCCATTTTAAATTAATGATTAAATAAATTACATCTGTATGAATCAATACTATGTATTAAAAATTACATTGCAGGATTCTTATTTGACATAGGTCAGTATATTAAGGGCAGTGCACCAAGTTTTTTTTCTTCTTTTTCAAAGCCTACAGCAGGTAGAAATTATGTACCATAAAACACTGAGTTAATATGAAAAGCTATCAGTTTCCTAGGGCTGCCATGACAAATTACCACAAACTAGGTGACTTAAAACAATGGAAATTTATTCTCTTACAGTTCAGGTTAGAAACCCCAAATCAAGGTGTTGGCAAGGTTGGTTCTTTCCGGAAGCTATGAAGGAGAATGCTTGTTACTTCTCTCCTAGCTTCTGGTGGTTGCTGGCAATCCTTGGTGTTCCCTAGTTGTAGGAACATCCCTCCGGTCTCCTTTATCACAAAACAGCCTTCCCAGTGTTTCTGAGTATCTTCTGCTCTTCTTCTAAGGACACTAGTCATTGGATTTAGGGCCCACCCTAATCCGGCATGACTACAACTAATTACATTTGCCAAGACCCGATTTCCAAAATAAGGCCACATTCTGAGGTTTTAGGTTGACATCAGTTTCTGAATGACACTACTCAACCCACTACATGTAAATAACATAGATATACAAAAGATTGAATATATTACTGACAGTGTTTATCTCTGGGTAGTTTTAGTTTATGAATGATTTAAATATTTTTTTGCTTTTCTGAATTTTAAAATAAATAGCTTATATAGAGATTAAGTTCTAAGTTTATTGTATAAAGTGAATATTAGGTGTAGTCAAAAATCATTTCTGGCTGGGTGTGGTGGCTCACACCTGTAATCCCAGCACTTTGGGAGGCCGAGATGGGTAGACTGCTTGAGCCCAGGAGTTTGAGATCAGCCTGGGCAACACGGCAAAACCCCATCTCTACAAAAAATACAAAAATTAGCTCGTTGTGGTGATGCATGCTGTAGTCTCAGCTACTCAGGAGGCTGAGGAGGGAGGATTGCTTGAGCCCAACAGGTCAAGGATGCAGTGGGCTGTGATCGCACCACTGCACTCCACCCTAGGGGAGGCAGAGCAAGACCTTGTCTTTATAAAAAAAAAAAAAATCACTCTTTTCTCTCACAGAGCTCACAAATTACAGAATACATCATTTTATACCTCATATCTCTTCTCAAAAATGTCCAACATAGGCAATTCTTCCTCCAACACTGGAACAGACTACTGTTCCTCTGGGTGAGTACTAGATGAAGCAGTTGGTTTGTGTTTATATGTTATGTTGTACAAAAATGAAAAAAAGGTTTTCTAAACATGAAAGTGTAGTTGAATGTGTTCAAGTTAAATGAGTATGAGACTCCACTGTTTTAGTTGTGTAATTAGAGGAAAAACTATTTTCTTCAATGTTTACGAAGAACACTACCCATGGCAATGAGTTAGGAAACACTCTTAAGACTAAGGGAAAAAAATAATTATTGATTTCCAAAATGGACTTCTTAAAGAGGTGAGGAATATCTCTGAGTATTTCTGAGTTTTTTAAAAGTCCAAAAACTTAAGAAAATAATACTTAATGTTCAGCATGAAGTTGAGATTGGGCTGCAAAATTGGGGTTTAACAATTTGAATGCCCAAGAAGCAGCTTTTGCTTTTTTTGCAGTCACCAATATCCACAATGAACAATATTAATAAAATTAAATCAAAATGAAAAATTGACAGCATTTAAGATACTGTGGATAAAATTATAGCCAATTTTTGTTTTAAAAATTCTTCCACGGTATATTTTCCTTTTAAAGATTTACAACTATGGTGTCTCTCATAACTGGAATAAGATAAATTCTATATAAAATTCAATTTTAAAAAGTATTCTCATGTACAGAGGCTGACATCATGGGTAGTCAAAGAATATGTTTAATAAAAAATAATTAAACTTCCATTTGCTCTATAGAACATCATAGAAAGTAATTTAATAAATTACAAATGACTTTTTAAGACGTTTGCTCAACTACAGAAAGCAAATTCAGACTACACAAAACACAACTGGTAAATATTGCAAATGTCCAAAAGAAAGATTGGACTAAGACTTGAATCATAAAACCTGAAACAAGGGCTATAAATACAAGGCAATAACAGCTATAATTCTTTTAGTAACTACCAACACATACTTGGATATTCTTTCAACTGCAACTTTAGTATTATGTAATTCTACTGATTTTTTTTTCCTTATAACCCTTAACTTTACACAACCATATTTGCATGTGTTTTCTTAGCTGATAGCTGGACAACTTTTCCCCAATGAATATTAAATAGAAGTGTCTTGAAACCTAAGAGAATGTTTAAAGTTATGTTAGACTTAATGCTTTGAAAACTGTAATTGCCTTATTATATAGAAAGAGAATCACTAGGATGTTAACCAAATTTATTTGACCATAATTAGGAAAATACTTTCTCTCATAAATTTGATATAAATTAGATTTTAGTGACAAGATCTACAGATTTTTTTTCCTTTTTTTTTTTTTTAATTGGCGAAAGGAAGGAATAAAGATCATGTGGGTAGAATTAGAGGGAGGAAGGGAAATGTGGTTGGTGTTGAAATACTCCACCGGTAAACTAAGATAACTGTGTTTGAAACTTTGGCTATCTCATAGGTGTATTCTAGTTAAACAAAAGTGCAATACTGCAAAGGGAAGATACTAAATATGTAATATATCATTTTCATGATGAAGAATTACTACCCACTTCTCCTGGATGGGCATTATAGAGACTATTGCTAAGACATTGCATAAAGGACTATCAATTCAAAGTACTATTTTGGGAAAATACAAAATCAATACAATCCCAATGGAACTTATATAATTTTGTAAATACATATAACACTGTCTCTCTAATAAGGGGTTATTTTACATACAGAAACATAATTTACTGGTAAAGGTCTTGGAAAACCTGATACAATTGACTAACTCATGACAAAGCAACAGTTTTATCAAAACATACTGAAAGTATTTTTTCTGTAGGAGAGAACTGGGACACTTTTTCCCCCTAAATTTATGCCCTTGCAGACTTTACTACTAACTTATTTGAGTACCAGAAAAATGCTAACATATATCTCTCCTTAGAATGTCAATATTTTTATGTCCAATTCAGTACTAATTGTTTTAAATATATATAAAGGTGAACCTGGACCTCTACCTTGTCAGAATAATAGCAGCTTTAGCAGGAGAAATTGTATCACAAATCAAATATCAGACAAATTTTACATGGTAAAGGAGTCTATGAAATTGAACAGAAGCCTCAGGCTTCACTTTTGTGGTTTACAGGTATAACTTGTACATCTTTTTGAGATTATTCAAAGTGCATTTTCAAAACGGGCAACTCAGTATATTTAATATAAACTGATAACCCAACACTGATTCTGGGCAACATTTAGTCTGCTTACACCTAGAAACTCAAAATGAATTTAGACTATCTGCATATTACTTTACCACTATTATCTGTTAATTCTGGAATATTTCCATGACATAAAACACAAATAGAAATCTACACAAAGAAAGCAAACAAACAATTTCTTTTACATGAAGTATGCTGTGTTGAAAGTTCTTTTCAGTGGCATTTCATGAGTTTGCCTTTTCTGAACCCTGGAAACAGACATTACTCATCTGAGACATGATTATTTCTAATAGGAGGCCAAACTTTGAAAAGTTAAAACTAAGTATGTCTATAGGGTGCCAAAGTCACATGACACATGATTATTTTATGACTTAATTTTACTGATATCTGAATTAAGCTCAGCAAAAAGCAAGTCATATTTCTTGCCAGATTGACATGATATATAGGATGTGTTTAAAAAACCCCTGAAAACAAGTATAGAATTAGAAACGAATGTAAACTTCCTAAACTAACTCAGCTGAGGTAACAGGTAGCCAGTTAAATTGGCTGATTGGGAAACTTATTTCTTCTTTAAAACATACTTGTACCTGAATTGGAAACATCAGCAGTGCATCACAACACTAGAGCATTTTCATGTAATTAAAGCAATGGATGGTGATGTAGATTCTACAGCTTTCATGACATTCATTAGCTGCCCAAATTATTGCTGAGTTTTGATCTGTAAATTATAGGTGTCAAGGAGGCTGTAAAACTATATTCAAATTAAATCAGTAATATGCATAAAGTATTCTGTGTTCACTGCAAATATATTAAATATACAACTCTTATTGAGCATAATTTTCATAAAATTAACCCCCAACAAAATTATAATGCCTTTTGTTGTAATTTTACACCTTTATGTATTTGATAGTACATACGAGTTCAGAAACTTATGAATCTTAAGAAATATTACATGCAAAAAGTCTCTGAAAGCAGTTTGCACTTCTAAACAAATAACTGAAATGTTCGGTCAGTAAGTTATTGATGCACTCAACACTGGGGTATTTACAATTAATTATTAAAGAAAAAATCCAAAATCAGTTCATATTTTAAGTGCAGAGTCTGGGAATCAGTCTTCATTACTAGAATCTGAATCCTCAGATGACGACGATGTACTATCAGATCCAGATGAAGCATCAGCTTTCTCTGAACCCTCATCTGTGCTGTTTTCATTGAGAGGACTTGGTTCAGTTCCTCCTTTGTCTTCCTGATCTTTAATTCTGGAATCTTCTTCTTTTACTTCTACAGACTTAGACGAGCCTAAGTCACTGTTTTTGTTTTGTACATCAAAAGTATTGGACTGGGACAAAGTTGGAATATGAAGATTAAGGCCTGGAGTGAGAAGCATCCCTGGATAAAGTATATTAGATAGTAATAGTGGGTTAAGAGCTAATGGGTTGGCAGCTGCAGCTGTATTTAATGCAGCAGTAGAGGATGTGGAAGGAGAACTTGACACAGAGTTTTCTCCACCATTCTCTGAACTTTGGCTCTCTGTCCTTTCTGTTTTTCCTTCTGACTCCTTAGAGTCACTTCCCTTTTTGTCTTCTGTCCCAGATTCCGTAGGCTTTGTCAGGAGTCCTCCCATGCCCAACAGATTTGGTAATCCAGCCATTCCTGACAGCAGCATGGGGAACATAGCAGCCATGTTTTTAGCTTCTCCTCCAGAAGGAAGGCCGGTAGGCATTCCCATCAACCCAGCAGTTACTTGCAGTGACTGCAAGTTTTGTAGGTTTTGTTGTAAGGCCTGAAGAGTTGTGAGATCCACACCTGGAAGTAGTCCATTGGCTAACAAAGGATTGCCTGAAACACTGGTGGCAGATGCAGCAGCTGCTGCTGCTGTGGCCTTTGCAATTCCACTTTTAGGCCGTCTCCCCCGCCTGCTTACTTCCTCTCTCACAACGGGACCAGTGAGAATACGTTCATACATGCTTTCTGGAAGAAATCCCTGGAAGAAATATATATTCATTAATAATCCCTACATGAAAATAAAATAAAGAGTTATTAGCTTATCATACAAATAACCATGAAAAATAGGTAATTATTTGTAAATTTATTCTGTACTGATATTAAATAATCAATTATAATAGCAATAACCTAATTTTATATAAGTGGTAGCTTCAAACAGCTCTTCCACTTTTCATTTTATCACAGAATAAGTGAGTAAAGAGGTCTTTAGCCTTCCTCCATACTGTAAAACATAAGATTGTAGTATAATTCTAGAAAATATAAGGTCCAAAAAAATTTTTTCATGGGTACTTCCATAACCCTTACATGTTTCACACCATCACTTGTCCTAGAAGACCAAAGAAGTGGCTCCCTTCTAATTGGGAAGAACAATAAAGAAGGAATATTAAAGGTTAAGGTTATAGTAAGATGCTTCATATGAATTATTTTACTGTCACTTTGGGAATAAAGGAGATAGAGCCATGCTCAAAAAGATACTCAAAGTGGGTTAAGGTCACCTGCAGTAGCACTTGCAGATTGGGAACCATAAAGTCCAGGACAACAGAAAACAATCTATGCTACTTTCATGTAATTCTCCCATGATTTTCTGGGTCCCAGAACTCTTAGAAGTTTTAAGAGTTTAGAATCACTGGAACAGCACTATCTAATAGAAATACAATGTAAGCCACATATGTAACTTGAAATTTTATAGTAGCCACATTTAAAATAGGTAAAACAGAAACAGGTGACATTAATTTTAGTAATAGTCTATTTAATAGAACATAATCTGAATATTGTCACTTCAATATGTAATCTATAAAAATTGAGATATTTTACATTTTTTTTCCAACAAAGTGTTCAAAATCCAAAACCACTGTGTATTTTACACTTAATGTTAATTCACATTTCAAGTGCTCAACAGCCACATGTGCCTATTTGTGGCTACTGAGGGGCTACTGTTTGTGACAATGCAGTTCTAGATAGTGGTTTAAGACAAGACTCATTCGACTATTGTTTAATTTTGTTTTGAACTGAATCAACTTATTTTTTCTCTTTACAAAGGCATCAGGGCTCATAGCAGAAAACACAACAAAAAATATTAAAAAAATCATCCATCATCTCAACATTCAGAGATAACCATTGCTAACATTTCATTATGTGTTCTATTTTTTTCCTTGTGCAATTATACACATTCTATAATTCCCCCCACCTCCCTTTCTGAAACAAAAAAAATAGAATCACAGCGAACTTAGTTTTATAGCCTGCCCTTTCCATTTGGACACCTGTAAGAATAATATCTATTAATTATTCACCATTAGCATACGTGTAGGCTTTACTATCCCAAGAGCTTAAATACTACTGATTTTAATATACTGTGAACTTTCTCTCCCTTTAGATGTTCTTCTAAGATATGTTTTTTTTTTTTTTGAGATGGAGTCTTGCCTCTGTTGCCCAGGCTGGAGTGCAGTGGTGCGATCTTGGCTCACTGCAACCTCTGCCTCCTGGGTTCAAGTGATTCTCCTGCCTCAGCCTCAGCCTCAGCTGGGACTACTGCCTGGCTAATTTTTGTATTTTTAGTAGAGACGGGGTTTCTCTGTGTTGGCCGGCTGGTCTCGAACTCCTGACCTCAGGTGATCCACCCGCCTCGGCCTCCCAAGGTGCTGGGATTACAGGGGTGAGCCACTGCACTAGGTCTAAGATATACTCTTTAAAATAGTTGCCTAGGCTGGGAATGGTGGCTCAGGCCTGTAATCCTAGCACTTTGGGAGGCTGAGGTGGGTGGATCACTTGAGGCCAGGAGTTCAAGACCAGCCTGGCCAATATGGCGAAATATCGTCTCTACTAAAAATACAAAAATTAGCAGGGTGTGTTGGTGGCACCTATTGTCCCAGCTACTTGGAAGGCTGAGGCATGAGAATCACTTGAACCCAGGAGGCGAAGGTTGCAGTGAGCCAAGGTTGCGCCACTGCACTCCAGCCTGGGTGACAGAGAGGGATCCTGTCTAAAAAAAAAAAAAAAAGAAAAAGAAAAAGAAAAAAAATTGCATAGTTTTCCAGAATCTTAATGAACTATTAATTTATTCTCAATTTTTTACTAGTATATCATGATGAATATCCTTACATATTTGCTCATATATTTGATTACTCTTTGTGGCATCATTCAAATGGTATCTTAGAGGTTAATGTAAAAACAAATCAGTATTGATTTTCTGTTCTAACCTGAGAAGCATCTGAGAAATTTGCAACATGTACTGCAAAATAAAAATTGCAAACTGAAAAATGCTGTCACAAATTCATGGAATATTTTATTAATTATAATTAATCTAAGATATAATTGAATGGCACCTAATTTGAAAATAATGTATGAGTTAGTATTCGTAAAATACTCACAGATTGCTTAACAACATCTCCCCATTCAGGAGCTACTCCATATTCTGAATTTTCTTTTAGGAATCTACATAAATCTTTCAAAGGGGGAGCAAATGCACCTCCAACCTGTAAATTAGAAACAGATTAAATACTACAACACTGTTACATAGAAAACTCTTGATTGCTTTTATTGTATGCTCTACAGAGTTTATTTCCTTAAAATACATATTTTTTGAACCACCTTAGGTAATCTTTATGATTATATTAAAAAGGCCCACCGTGACCCTATGGACTACTGATGTAATATATAAATATGTGATAATGTAAATTTTAAATGTTTTAAGTAGAATAACTAGAACAGTAAAATGAATAACTACCATGCTGGACAGGCCATATAGCCTAGTTAAAAGTACACCCTCTAGAGTTAGACTTACCAGCTATGTGAACTCGAGCAAATCAGTAAATCTCTTTCAGCCTCAATTTTCTGATCTGTAAAATGGGGATAACAATAATACTTCCCTCATAGGGTTTTATAAAGATAAAATGAGACAATTCAAGTACCTTAGCATAATGCCTGTCACATAATAAATATAAGTTATTATATGGCAAGTATTGTGCTAAGTACTTTAAATGTAAACTTTATTTTAGTTCTCACTACCTCCTTTGGAGATAGTATTATTTCTATTTTTCAAACGAAGAAACTGAGCCTCAGAGAATTTATATAATTTGCCTAAAGTTAGCTAGTACATGTTAGAGTCAGGATACAAAACTAGGTCTCAAAAACCAATACTGTTATCGATTATATATATTGACACCCTAAAAGTATAAAATTGTATATATCTTTCATATGTGAAGTATGTATAATTAACCAATCATAAGTAAATAATTTGGAAAAAAATGTAATAATATGACACAGACAAAATAATATTTTGAAATTTAAATTAAAAACATTACATTTGGACAAGTGATTTATACCTACCAATTTAACATCCCTTTAGAGACTAAAAATATTTCTTGAGTAATTTCTTCTTCTATACCACTTTGAATGATTAAATACTATATCTTGATAGGATACAGATAAGGTTTAATATGATCAGTTATATTACCTATAAGTATTTATTTATTTTTTTGAGATGGAGTCTCACTCTGTCGCTCAGGCTGGAGTGTAGTGGCACGATCTTGGCTCACTGCAACTTCCGACTTTCAAGTTCAAGCGATTCTCCTGCCTCAGCCTCCTGAGTAGCTGGGATTATAGGTGCCCACCACCATGCCTGGCTAATTTTTCTATTTTTAGAAGAGACAGGGTTTCACCATGTTGGACCAGGCTGGTCTTGAACTCCTGACCTCAGATGATCCACCCACCTTGGCCTCCCAAAGTGTTGTCATTACAGGCCTGAGCACTGCACCCAACACAAGTATTCTTACATGGTATTTCTTTTTTTTTTTTTTTTTTAAAGAGACTCACTCACTCACTTTTTTTTAAGGTCTCACTCTGTGGCCCAGGCTGGAATGCAGTGATGTGATCATAGTTCACTGCAGCCTTGAGGTCCTGGGCTCAAGCAATCATCCCTCCTGAACTTCCTGAGTAGCTAGGACTACAGGTGTGCACCACCACATCCCCAGCTCCTTCTATTTATTTATATAATATATTTAAAGAAGTATATTTAAATAAGTACATTTAAGGAAATAAGTATATTTACTTAGTCTCTGTAATTCTGTTGTCTTCTCTTTTTTATTATCTCCTTCATTAAGCTTCTATTGAAAATGGAGGCCCTCTTGGGGGTTTATGGGGATTTAGCAGGTAGATTCTTTTCCTTAATAACTCATCAATCCTTAAGCCTGTACCCGAGAGACTCAAGACAATTAGAAACTCTACAAATTAAGGAACATGAACAAACCTCTCATGAAGTTACAATAATTAAAAATAAAATTTAGAATGTTTAATATCAAACCCAACAGGTAAAAATTCAAATTGTTTCATTTCCTTAAAATTGGCTAAGACAAACTCATTCATAATATTTAGTAATGTGAATTTTTGGTATAAGATGAAGAAGAAGGATTTGTAACAAAATCTGCACAAGCACAAAATTAAGTAAAATGCTACTGAAATGTCACCTTGTTCTTTCCTTAAGACATGTATGCTACACTTTAAAATACTAACAAAAGCTGAAAAAGCTATCTCTACAAAATTGTGGGAAAAATTAACATTAACTTTAAAGAGTTGGTGTACCCAACAATATTAAAACAACTGTTATTTTAAAATAGTTTTCTTCTAATTCCAATATTTCTTATGAGAAATTCAAATGTTTTTGGGTATTTTTATCCTAGCAGTGAGTGCATTTAACAGACAGTAAATCAGAACCAGACCTATGTAAGGTAATTTAGTGTATGAGAAAAATAACGCAATGAGAAATGTGATGTACTTACACTGACGCCATTTTTTCTTTCCTAATTATTTTGTTGCTTGCTCATCAGAATAAAAAAGTGTGTCAAAGCTATACATATACAAAACAGTGTCACAAGTTTCTACTGTTTATTTTGTGAGGTAAAAGAGAAACATATTAATCCAAACATAAAACAAGAAATCTATGTAAGTCTATTTCTGAAAAATCTCCACTCTATCATTCATCATTCAGTAAAAGAAGATAAGCCACAAAGGTGGCATTAGTCTACAAGGTAACTTCAAGACATTCTAGTTTCATCAATCAGAAATTATGTAATATGATGATTTTGATAGAAAAAGACATGTTAAGGTCATCTGACAGAAAATTGCAGTGATAAATATATAAATTTATGATGGCTATAATGTGAGTGGTGTCCTCTTAGATCAGAGTTTCTCAACCTTTCCAGTACAGACATTGTGAATTGGTATTGTAGGGGGTTGTTCTATGTACTGTAGGAGGTTTAGCAGCATCTCTGGCTTCTACCCACTAGATACCAGTAGCATCTTCTCCTTGTGGCTACCAAAGATGTCTCCAGACGCTGACAAATATTCCTTGAGAGGTGAAATCACCCCGATGAGAATGACTGTTTTTGATGTCGTGCCCTTGTATAAGTGTACAATCATGTGCAATGGCACTGCTTAGGCACAGATGTGTTAAATGACTTATTTCATGTAATAGCTCAGCTAATGAAGCAAGATTTGAAATTAGACTGCATAAAATTATACTGCATGTCTTCCCTCAGAAATCTGATAGATTCAACTCATTTCCAGGTCTGTTAGAAAACACCACCACATAATGAAATAGTGTTCTGGAGATCTCTTAAATATTGAATCAATACAAAAGATTAAGAAAAAAACATTAAAATACCTTTCTAGCATTTCTTCTGTTAATCAGTTGAACACGTTCTTCTCCAGTGAGACTATTCACATCTAGTTTATTGGGGTTTCTGCAACGGTGTCTTTTTTGTTTGGGTCTTCCCTCATGAAGCTGCATTCTCTAAAATATATAGATAAAGACATATCTTTAAAGTCTTTAACTGTGCAAAACAATTCAAAATATTAAAATGAGCTGATCCAAGTAATTTAATAGCATTTACCTTTTGGTTATTTACATTTTAAAAATATCTAAACTTTTTTATTTTATTTTTTTTTGAGACAGGGTCTTGCTCTGTTGCCCAGGCTGGAGAATAGTGGTGTGGTCACAGCTCACTGGAGCCTTCACATCCCAGGCTCAAGTGATCCTCCCACCTCAGCCTCTCAAGTAGCTGGGACTACAGGTGTGTGCTACCATGCCTGGCTAATTTTTTTTATTTTTTTGTAGAGATGAAAGTTTTGCCGCATTGCCCAGGCTGATCTTGAACTCTTGGGCTCAAGCTATCCTCCCGCCTAGGCCTCCCAAAGTACTGGGATTACAGATGTGAGCCACCACGCCTGGCCAAACATTATTTTAATAAAAAGTATTGCATCAATCTTTTCTTCAAACTATTCATTAAAAAAGTTAAGCCCGGGCAATATGGTGAGACCCTGTCTCTACAAAAAATCAAAAAATTAGCTTGCCATGGTGGTGTACGCCTACAGTCCCAGGTATTTGTTGGGGCTGAGATGGGAGGACTGCTTGGGCATGGGAGATTAAGGCTGCAGTGAGCCATGATCGTGCCACTGCACTCCAGCCTGGGCAACAAAGTGAGGCCCTGTCTCAAAACAAAAACAAGCAAGAACCCAACAACTCATATCTAGCAATAAAAATAAAAACTCATCCAATCAAACCATGCTACTTCTCTATACAACTATTAACAAAACAGGGCTTAATGTTTGCAGGTATTTCCAGCCAATTAAAAATATTTTCAGGAAATCAACACTCAAACTCTTCAGCTTAGCATACCAGTCCCATCATGGCCTGAACCTATTCAATTCACCTCTTCTGTTCATTGTTTATTTACTATTACCCCACTCACTCCTCCACGTACTCTGGAATATTAGACTAGTCACTGTTTTATGAATATGGCTTACAGTCCTATCCTCTTTTCTTTTTTTTTTTTTTTTTTGAGATGGAGTTTTGCTCTTGGCTCATGACAGCCTCTGCCTCCCGGGTTCAAGAGATTCTCCTGCCTCAGCCTCTCGAGTAGCTGGGACTACAGGCACCCGCCACCATGCCCAGCTGATTTTTGTATTTTTAGTAGAGATGGGGTACCATGTTTGCCAGGTTGGTCTTGAACTCCTGACCTCAGGTGATCTGCCCGCCTCGGCCTCGCAAAGTGCTAGGATTACAGGCGTGAGCTACCGCACCCGGCCATCTTCTTAATAATTCTATATTGCCTAGAACATCCTCTTCTTGTGTTAACCTGGTCAATGCCTACTTACTCTTTTTTCATCCACGAGACAAATGTCGGCTCTATTTTCTTTATCTTTCCTCAGAAACTGCCTAGGCAGTTAATTTTTCTTACATCTGTTCCCATGAGACTTTATACATAACTTTATTATAGTATACTCTCCACCATGTTATAATTGTTTAGCTACAGAAATACTACAATAGAGTGTGAGATCCAAGAAATCATTAATGTAAGGTGATTTTTACAAAGGAAAATGCTTTTCCTTGGGAAAGCAGACAAATTACATCTTATAATCTTTAGAGGAACAAATGCTGCCCTTAAAAATATGTTTTCAAAATCTTTACAATAAAGTAATATAAAATATTATGATAAAATATTTGCAGGTGAAATGATGAATGGATATACAAGTTTAAAAAGTTAATAAAGGCCCTTTTGCAGTGATAAAGAGAAAGGTATGAGAATTCTTCAGAGTCTAGAGTATAGGTATGAGGGCAAAAACTTTATATTGTTTACTGCTATATCCTCAATCTCTTAAAATAATAAGTAGTACATAGTAATCCCTCAATAAAAAATTGTTAACTGAATAAATGAATGTTATCTTGAACATGTTAGGAAGTTACAGTGTTCAACTCAGGATTCCCATTATTTTTAGGATTGCAATATTTAGCCAGGTGTGGTGGCTCACACCTGTAATCTCAACACTTTGGGAGGCTGAGGCAGGAGGATCGCTTGAGCCAGGAGTTTGAGACCGGCCTGAGCAAGACAGTAAGAGCCTGTCTCTACAAAATAAAAATTGAAAAAATTAGCTGGATGTGGTGGCCTGTGGCCAGGCTGGTCTCAGACTCCTGAACTCAAGTGATTTGCCCATTTCGGCCTCCCAAAGTGCTAGGATTACGGGCATGAGCCATCATGCCCAGCCTCATCTTTGATTAAAATAAACTCATTGTGCATCTGGAGGGGCATAGAAGCTATACTCATAGCTTGAAGAAGAGCTTAAGAGGAGCAGTTTGGGCTCCAGATTTAAGAGTCTGTTTGCTGAGTGGACTTGAACTATTTACTTAAAACTTTGGTGTTTTAATTTCATTTATAAAACAGTTATAGGCTGGGTGCGGTGGTTCATGTCTGTATTCCTAGCACTTTGGGAGGCTGAGCAGGCGGATTGCTTGAGGCCAGGAGTTTGAGACCAGCCTTGGCCAACATGGTGAAACCCTGTTTCTATGAAAAATACAAAAGTCAGCTGGGCATGGTGGTGTGCACCTGTGGTCCCAGCTACTCAGGAGACTGAGGTGGGAGAATCGCTTGAATCCGGGAGGCAGAGGTTGAAGTGAGCCGAGATCACGTCACTGCACTCCAGCCTGGGTGACAGTGCGAGACTCTGTCTCAAAAAAACAAAAAACAGTTATAACAATGCCACGTAATAAAGTTATTGTGTTAAATGAGGTAATGCATGTGGTGTGCCTAAGTATGTCAGCATAACTGCAGGCACATAGTTAAGTTTCAATACATGTTTACTATAATCATTATTATTTTAAAATAAACTGCTTGAGAAAGGATTGGAAGTTTTATACCTTAGCAACCTTCACTGGGTCTAACATAGTACTCTATATTGGAAGTGATTTTTATTATTAAATACTCATTGAATGCAGAATGGAAAAATGGAAAATAACATTGTATTGTATCATGGGAAGGATGGTAATTATTTTTTCTGCTAATTCTCCTAGGTCTTAGGCAGAGCACATATTTAGCATAAGTGGATGAGAATTTATGCTTCATCATGATAGATCTGACAACTCATAAAAATAAAATATAACAAGAATTTTAAGGTGTCACCTACAGGAATAAAAGCTCCCAAATCTTCCACATAACCCGGGTGCTCCTTAAGCCATTTTTCCAAATCCTTTCTCTTTGGTGCATCATCTCCTGCAAGTCTCGTTCCATCTTTAAGATTAATAACTGGAACTGGACTTTCTGTATCAGGAATTCCTTGAGGTTGAGTATAGGATAGTGCTGGATTTATCCCTGTGGAAATCTGTGAGGAGGTTAAGCCTAAAGAAACCTGTAAAAAAACACCAAATGGTATCTTTATTTTCATACTTTATCATTCTAATATTGGTTCAATAAAGCAATTATTTTTGAAGAGAAAAAATAAGTTGTTGCTAAAAATTCTGCTAAATCTTTTAAACTTAAAATTTTTATCACTCTTGGACAGTGCTAAGATTCTAAGATATCATCTAAAATTATATGGCATACTTCTAATTTCCTTACTAATAGTCTATAAAACATTCACAAAACAATAATATGTATATTTATTAGGATTGAATTTTGAATTCAAGGATCAGTTTTTAAGTACTGCTTTACTTACATGATTAGGTGGTTTATTTCTGTTAAAAAAGAAGATGTCAACACCTTCTACATTCTTCCTCCTTCCTCGCCTTTTTTTGACTATAGGCTGGTTGTCTAATATCACACCATTGGCACCAAGGGTTGGTTGAATGGAAGTACCTAATTGAATTAAAAATGCAAAATGGTGATACAAATTTAGTTCTTAAACAAACTGAAAGTAATCCCTTTCCTAAATATATGAAAGTGTTAGTTCTTATTTTATACATCTTTAATGTAGAAACTTTTGGACTAAAAATATCATCCCCACCTCTCATTTAAAAACCTGAAGAATTACAACCTAGGCCTCTTTCAATTTTTGACCTGTCTTCTCTATTTTTTTTCCCGATATTCACACATTTTCTCTTCCTTCCTTGGAGAAGGAAGCATGCCTTTTCCCTAAGATAAACATTTCCCCTTTCTTTGAACCCATTAGTTCCTATACTTTCAAAAGCTTGTTTTTTTAAAAAAAATCATTTATCTCTGCTTTTTGTGCCAAATATCTTTTTCTACATTATTCTTTTTTGATTTTTGTTTTTTTTTTTTGGAGACGGAGTCTTGCTCTGTCGCCCAGGCTGGAGTGCAGTGGCACGATCTTGGCTCACTGCAAGCTCCGCCCCCTGGGTTCATGCTATTCTCCTGCCTCAGCCTCCCAAGTAGCTGGGACTACAGGCACCCACCACCACGCCCAACTAATTTTTTTGTATTTGTTTAGTAGAGACGGGGTTTCAGCATATTAGCCAGGATGGTCTTGATCTCCTGACCTTGTGATCCACCGGCCTCGGCCTCGGCCTCCCAAAGTGCTAGGATTACAGGCGTGAGCCACCGCACCTGGCCAGATTTTTCTAAACTTAAAAATATGCCCTAACTCAAACAAACAAATGTTAAACTTTTGGCCGGGCATAGTGGCTCACGCCTGTAATCCCAGCACTTTGGAAGGACGAGGTGGGCAGATCACCTGAGGTCAGGAGCTCAAGACCAGCCTGGCCAACATGGCAAAAACACGTCTCTACTAAAAATACAAAAATTAGCTGGGCGTGGTGGCGGGCACCTGTAATACGAGCTACTTGGGAGGCTGAGGCACAAGAATCACTTGAATCCGGGAGGCGGAGGTTGCTGTGAGCCGAGATCATGCCACTGCACTCCAGCCTGGGCAACAGAATGAGACTCTGTCTCAGAAAAAAAACACTTTGTCCTTTTTATAACATCAGAACTTTTAAAAGACTGATCTCTCTTGTGCTCTTTTTTTTTCATGAGTAACTAGTTCTTGGATTTCCCTAGTCCATTCCTGCCCCAACCTACTTAAGGTATTTTCTTTAAGATACCAGTAACTTTTTAGTCACCAAATTAGACTGACTTCTTTCATTTCAGTAGGCACTCAACAAAAATGTAAGGGGTATGAATGAAACAGTTCCATGCATTCATCAATTTTTCTAATAGATATTTTATTAAGCAGCTATGTACTATGCAGTATGATGGTTCAAAGATGAATAAAACACTTTTCCTTAAAGAGTACATAATCTTGAATTCTCTTATTAAAAGGATGTATTATTAAAGGTGAGATGCTTGTTTAAAATAGTTTACATGTTTATAATGAAAAATGCATTTCCAGTCATTCAAGGAGAATTTACTGAGCAAGTCCTGGGTATTCCTGAAGAAGGTGTTGCCTTCTGGCGAGCTGTGTAACTTCACAGAAGTCACAACCTTCCTCCCATCTCAGTTTCAAAAAGGTACTTAATTCATATGGTAAGTAACCATTCTGTTTCATACTTCTCATGGCTTCCTATTCTAATATAAATGAACTGCCTTGAATCAACATGATTCTCAACCTCTGACCCCTGCCCTAGATCTGTTTTTGATGCTTTTCATAACTTAAGATTTAGCTTTCCTAAGCAAGATTTGATCTACACATCTGTCCCAGTAAGAATTTACACACTAGCAAGGTCAGTCTTACCACAAAATCATACCATTTTCCTGACATCTAGTCTCTGTTTCATGCTATTCCCTGCCCTTCTTTTACCCCTTCTGACAACCCTATTTTCTAGAAAGACAATTATTTTGTTGTCCTCTTATCAAATCCTGTTCAATCCCATCTCTTCCACAGGACTCTGGCTAAGTTTCCAGAAAGCAATGACTTTCCTCTTTTCCAACGTTTATTAACTATAATGTTCTGTGTAGCAAAATATTGAATGTATTGTCTAATATTTTAATGTGCAGGTCTTGTCTACCAATCAACTAAAAGGAAGAGATAGTGTCCTACATTTCTTTTACTTTACCTTTAGTGCTATCCCTGTACTACATAAAAAATAGAAGTACTTAATATAATTATCTATGAAAAAACATCTGGTTTCTACCAATATTGTACATTTACAATACTGTGTACATTTACAAACATATTCTATTTGACTAACTCTTCATTTTAATTATATACTACCCTGACTTATTTCTGAGGCTGATTTTAATAAACATTAGCAATTCATTTAAGCCAGAATCCAAATGTAAGATTTAACTTTGAAGTCTGTGTTGTCTTTATTTTAGATGTAATTAACACTATTTTAAAAATAGCTTTTTTTGTATTGAATGCCTACTAAGTGCCAGATACTGTACTAAGCTTTACAAATGCTATCTCAAATCATCAAAAACAAAACAGAAGAGGGATTATTAAGCTCATTTTATAAATAAGATGGGAACATTAAGCCACTTGCTCAATGTCACAATAGCCAGTAAATGACAGAATTAAAAACCCCAGGTTGCTTGGCTCTGCCATCCTCTATTCACTATTCCAGGTAGTTTCTGGAATGAGCTCTTCAGTTTTGTCCTCTTGTTATAATCTATGCTATTTTACTCTCCTTCATTAATGAAATTACACTACATCTGGTATCTTTACTCAAGGCTTTCCAAGGGGTAATTACACAAGAATACAAAAGGCACAGCCTTTGGAAAATGAAGAATTTTAATAATAGCATCTGTTAAACATCTAATTCTAAAATCTATGAGTACATATTTTAACATCTGTTTGGCATCCCATTGTGTGCCAAGCTCTTTATTGGCCACTTTATATACATTGTTTTATTTAACCCATCTAACAATGCCATCTCTGTCATCCCCACACCCTTCATGTCACAAACAGGAAAAGTAAGGCTCAAAAATGTTAACAGATTTCCCAAAAGTAACATAGGAATAAAGATCTAGATTTCATATTTGCAATTATTAAGATGGATAAGATAAAATGCTTAGATAATAACTCTATCTAGGGTGAATACTTGAGATTTTAAATATTTTGTATAGCTGCAAAAGTCGTGTTACAATTTTTTTTTTTTTTTTTGAGACAGGTCTTGCTCTGTCACCTAGGAGTGCAGTGGCACAACCATGGCTCAGGTATTCCTCCTGAGATCAAGTGATCCTTCCACCTTAGCTTCCCAAGTACCTGGAACTACAGGGGCACACCACCATATCCAGCTAATTTTTAAATTTTTTTCAGAGATGGGTCTTGCTATGTTGCCAGGATTGGTCTTGAACTCCTGGACTCAGGCAATCCTCCTGCCTCTGCCTCCTCAAGTCCTGGGATTACGGGTGTGAGCCACCACGCTTGGCACAATTACTATTGATATTATTATTATTATTATTATTATTATTATTATTGTTTTTGAGACAGGGTTTCGCTCTTGTTGCCCAGGCTGGAGTACAATGGCCCGACCTCGGCTCACTGCAACCTCCGCCTCCCGGATTCAAGCGATTCTCCTGCCTTAGCCTCCTGAGTAGCTGGGAATCTGGGCACGCGCCACCACGCTAATTTTTTTTTTTTTTTGTATTTAGTACAGACAGGGTTTCACCATGTCAGTTAGGCTGGTCTCGAACTCCTGACCTCAGGTGATCCGCCTGCCTCGGCCTCCCAGAGTTCTGGGATTACAGGCATGTGCCACCACACCGGACCCCTACTATTGATATTATTAAAAAACAGTATTATTTACCAAAGAATGACTTACAGGCAAAAGCTATACAATCTTCAGCTGCAACAGCAATAAAATGTTCAGGCAATAGAAGTATCAATCTCACTTTACAGTGGAGTTTTAAACAGTAAGAGTAGTGGTATTATTAAGCCCCACTGAGGTTGGGCAAAAGAACGCACAGCTTATCTTCCCCATTTGTTACCATTTTCTGGTGAAAAAAAAAAAGGGCTCCTTTGATAACAAAATTGTTAATTGTAAGGTATAATTTGGGCGACTGTAATTGTAAAGCATAATTTGGGGGATTTATTCTACAGTAATAGAAGCATGGGTGATTCATATTTGAAGTGCAATTCATACATGTCTGAAGTTCTACTAATTGGAAAATTACATTGAATGGTTAATGAATCCACAAGAGACCAAACTGATGCTGATGAAGCTAAACTAATTTATAATTTAAGAAGTGGTAATAGCAGCATTTGGAAATAGTGATCAGTTCAAGACAACACTTATAATACAGCATGTATTGCTTGGCAACTAGACTTAGTAGAATACTGAAGTACAGTCTTTAACTTTATGCACAAGGAAGGGAAATTCAAGACACTTATTTGCTTGAATTGACAACTAGTACTTTAGGAGATCAGTATGTTGTGGTCCACGCATTAAGACTCAGTTAATCTTGAGTACCATTCTCAACTTTTTTTTTTAAATTTTCATTCTCAATTCTTGACATCACACTTTTAGAGGAACACAGATAAATTAAAGTACTAAGATAAAACAAAAACAGGCTGGGCGTGGTGGCTCATGCCTGTAATCTCAGAGCTTTGGGAGGCCAGGTGGGAGGATCGTTTGAGGTCAGGAGTTTAGGACCAGCCTAGGCAACATAGTGAGACACTATCTCAACAGAAATCCAAAACAAAACAAAAACTAAAACCAATGTCTAATGCATTCCTCAATGCCTACGGAGTACACAGCACAGGGCACCACCAATTAGGTATTTAATAAATATGTGTTGATTCAAACTGCCAAAAGATTAGAAGACAGACAGATAGTTTGTAGGGGAGATCTGATAATTGCTTTCAAAATGCTAAGATTTATCATGTAGACACAGGATTAGGTTAATTATGCATTGCCTTTTAAAGACAGAACTTCGATAATTGAGAAGAACCTATAGGAGGCAAAATTTACTTCTAAATAGAGGAATTTTCTGACAATTTGAGCTGCCCAATAATAAAAAGGGCTATTTAAGGAACCTTGTTTCTGTAAGTATTCCCTAAGGATGAATAATTACCTTTTAGGGATTAGTCATAGATAACACCTGTATCCTGAAGATGCCTGGACTGTACAATCTCTAAAGTTTTTCTAAAACTTCTCTTTTTAATTTCTTCTACCAATCACCATTAATTTGTGATACTGAAATGCAGTTTGAACTTTTACCTGTATGAGGCAACTTGACAAAATGATGTTCCCACACAACTACTCTAGGCCCCAAAATGAAAACTGCCCTTTATGCTTTAAAATGTCATGTTAAAAGTTCCAAAAAATATTTGTTAAGATTTAAAATTCTATTGATTACTTTATAGGCTTAAGAGGTTCCAACAAAGGAAAAATAAATTTTTATTACAAGCATCTATAAAAGAAGATTTGGACATGACAGAAAATATTTCATAGTAAGACAATTATTACTTGCATATTCACCTGATACTGGTATGGATTTTGGGAAATTGACGAGGCTGGTCTCTGATGCACTTTGAAGCTCTCGAAGCCGAGTGAGGTACTGCTGCTGCCCCAGAGCACCGTCTTCACCATCAAATGGTCTTTTCTGAGCAAGCCCTTGCTTCTGAAATGTCAACTTCAAACCACCTTCCTGTTAAACAAATACCATTATTAAGACAGAAACTGTTAAAAAAAATCTTATTGCAGGATATTAAGAGAATTTTTTTACTGAGGAAAAAAAATGAAGTAAAAATCCTGAAACATCAAAGAAGTTCATTTCTCATTCATAAATCAGTCAAATAAAAACATTTTAAATCAATTTCTATAATAACACCAAATTTTCTATTTTGAATGAAAAAAATACAAGTACTCTACACACTTTTCTGACCAAAACAAGATGTTACTAGTACACTGTAACATTTTTAACTTTAGACATACATCTCTATGTACATTATTCATATGACATTTTGGAGGACATTAACTATGTTTTAGACACTAAGTAATAAGTTAAGCTTCAAAAATCATTTAAAAATGAAACAATACTGATAACAGGGCATGCTAAATGTTTAAAACAGAAAGTACACTGACATACTATTTAAATACTATATAAAAGAACCAAAACAATTAGAAATTGCCACACTGTTTAAGAAAGCATTTTGATTAGAACTATTTTCAGAAGCATAAAGAGAAAAACATATTTAATGACGATCCCTCTAGTAGAATATTCAAGTTTAATAACCTGGATATCAGAAAGAAAATAATCCAAATACCAAGAAACAGGTATGTGAAGGAAGGAAGAGTAAGAGCAGGCAGCCATTTGCAGGAAAAGCATGCTGCACACCGCAATCGCAATCAGGCCCTAGGGCAATAAAAATACACATACGTCTTTGATTTTCACTGTAAACTCCTTTTCTCGTACATGCTTCTTCACCTTTGACATCTGTGTTGACTGATCATGTTCTTCTTTAACACCGGCACCTGGGGGAGTGGGTACACTGGGATCGCTGTATTCTGTAGCTGCTCCAGGGCTGTCCAGCAGTTTTGTGGTATAGAAAGAAGCCACTGTGTTAGCATCATAACTTCTTCTAGCTGAAGGCCACTTTCCTTTCAGAACTGTTTGACAAATACTGTCCAACCTATTGATCATCACACGATCCTAGAAAAGCGTGCAACATCAAAGTGTAATTTTAATAATTAGATCAGACCTTTGGAGATCAAATAGCTCAAGAGTCTATGGATTTAACCCTAGTTCAACATATGTGTATGTGCTATGCATACATATTCTCGTGTATATATATATTACAATTCTGCAACAAGTTATTTGAGTACAGATTCCCTTTGGTGAAGTTCAAAAATATTATACCATAAGCAGGCGTGGTGGCTCACACCTGTCTGTAATCCCAGCACTTTGGGAGGCCAAGGTGGTAGGAGTGCTTGAAGCCAGGAGATTGAGACCAGCCTGGGAAACATAGCAAAACCCTGTCTCTGCAAAAAATTAAAAAATTGTGCCACTATACTCCAGCCTGGGTGACAGAGTAAGACCGTGTCTCACAAACAAACAAACAGACAAAAAATTATACCACAAAGATAGTTTTATTTTTGCTGTTATAATTAAAAAGTAATACAGACTCCTAATAAGTTCAAACAACTTAGACGTACACAGAAGAGGAGAAAACCCTCCATTCTCCCATTTCCCAACCTCATTCTTAAAGGTAAGTATTCCAGCACTAGTCTAGTCACATAATGGAAGAAAAATTGGTCAGGTGCACTGGCTCACACCTGTAATCTCAGCACTTTGGGAGGCCGAGGCAAGCGGATCACTTGAGGTCAGGAGTTCGAGACCATCCTGGCCGACATGGTGAAACCCTGTCTCAGCTAAAAATACAAAAATTAGCCAGGTAGGGTGGTGGGTGCCTGTAATCTCAGCTACTTGGGAGGCTGAGGCAGGTGAACTGCATGAACCTGGGAGGCGGAGGTTGCAGTGAGCTGAGATTGTGCCACTGTAAGCCAGCTTGGGCGACAGAGTGAGACTCAAAAAAAAAGGAAGAAAATCTGTATTAATTCAATCTTTCTTCTTCCACTGAATGTACATGTATTTAAATGAACTTTTCATTCTAGGTCACAACTGGCTACAGTAAACTTCTTCAAGGAGACTCAGTCAAAAGCACCTGTTTCATAAAGAAGCACTTTAGGATTAACTTGAAAGTAAGGATTCATTATCTTTTATTCTAAACATTCTAAAGTTATGTTGAGAAGCATACACATTAAAGCAGAACTATTTACTTGATAGCAGTAATTTATACTTTTGGAGCTAACACCAAAATGTCATCCTACATTTTACGCTGACCTATGTTTCCACATAGTAAGAATATCTACCATTGAAGCAATATAGAAAAATACTAAAAAATGACCTATCCCAATAAGAAATTATTTCTTTACCTTTGGCCAATACGAGGCTGCCAGCATATATCCACCTTGTAAGATATAAGCAGACTCTGGTGTCCCATTGTTCATCTGAAAACTATCCTGAGTCTCATCCTGGGTAGTGCTCAGTGACGCGACGCTTTCTTCATCATAGGCTTTCATGTGAGTAGTACTTTCTGCTAAAAACAATTATAATCATTTTTTAAAAAGACTACATAAAATAGTTTTATATATAAGGATTTTACATAATTATTCAGAAACACCTGAAAATGAAAATGTTAGAAGTAAAAACAAATGATAAAAAAAGAGAAAAAATCACCTAGAATATAAAAAAAGCACCTATCATTATTATTAAGAGACAGGGTCTTGCTGTGTTGCACAGCCTGGACAGAACTCCTGGGCTCAAGCAATACTCCTGCCTCAGCTTCTCAAGTAGCTCAGATTACAGGTGTGCACTACGCCTGACTTCATTACTCACTATTTTTAAAATGATTCCTGATTGGTAGACTTCATCTGGATTGGCAGAACTATAAATACCTGATGAGGATACCATAATTCTCTTGATTAGGTGACTCTTGTAACTCTTAGAATTGGGCATGTTTCTTGCGGCAACCCCGAAAGTTATGCCTATGGAGTTGTTACAAGAGACCCCAGCTCCTGCTCATGTTTAATTGGACTCATTTTCTTGCCCCTGAACTGGTGGACTGCTGCAAGGGTTCCTGCAGAAGGGGACCACCAAACACTGTTCTGCTGACAAGCATTTGTCATGGCTGACAAATAAATGGCTTATGATATTCTCATTAGCTTAAGACTCTTGGTGACTGCTATATAATATTATCTTTTACTTGTTCACTAATCAACTTGTTCCTGGGAAAAATATTCAATTTAAGACAATCACAAATAAACTACTGTGTAAAATTTCTAATTCAATTGCCTGATTAATCTACTGTGTAATGCCTTGAATATTAAACAGGGAATTTGTATCAGTAACTAGTTTTCTTCCCAATAGTGCTTTCCTAAGAACATTTGTATATATAAAACTTAAGCAAACAGGCCAGGTGTGGTGGCTTATGCCTGTAATCCCAGCACTTTGGGAGGCTAAGGCGGGCGGATCACCTAAGGTCAGGAGTTCGAGACCAGCCTGGCCAACATGGTGAAACCCTGTCTCTACAAAAATACAAAAATTAGCTGGACATGGTGGTGGGTGCCTGTAATCCTAGCTACTCAGGAGGCTGAGGCAGGAGAATCGCTTGAACCTGGGAGACAGAGGTTGCAGTGAGCTGAGATCGTGCCATTGCACTCCAGCCTGGGCGACAGAGCGAGACTCCGTTTCAAAAAAACACTGTAAGCAAACAATTTTAAACATCCTTAAGTTACCTGAAACGAGTTCTTTTCATTTTCACTTGAAAAGTTATATTAGGCCAGGCCTGGTGGCTCATGCCTGTAATCTCAGCACTTTGGGAGGCTGAGGCGGGTAGATCACCTGAGGTCGGGAGTTTGAGACCAGCCTGACCAACATGGAGAAACCCCGTCTCTACTAAAAATACAAAATTAGCCAGGCATGGTGGCACATGCCTGTAATCCCAGCTACTTGGGAGGCTGAGGCAGGAGAGTCGCTTGAACCCAGGAGGTGGAGGTTGAAGTGAGCTGAGATTGCGCCATTGCACTCCAGCCTGGGCAACAAGAGCAAAACTCCATCTCAAAAAAAAAAAAAAAAAAGAAAAGAAAAGAAAAGAAAAGAAAAGAAAAGTTATGTTAAAAAAGTAGAATTATTTTATGCATAGTACCTCGTTTTTGGGCTTCTTCTTCATCACTGTCACTTTCTTCTGATGAAGATGAAGAGGAGGAGGAGGAGGAAGAGGTGGAGGAAGAGGATGAAGAAGATGCTGAAGAACAAGATGAAGATGAAGAAGAACTAGAGCCTGATCGAGAGTGGGAGCAAGAAGAGGATGATGAGGAAGAAGATGATCTGGAAGAACAAGATGATCTCTCAGAATCTGAGTCAGAATCAGAACTAGATTCTGATCCCCTTTTGTGGACTCTTGGTTTCTTAGAAGCTGGGTTTGGAGTTAGGGGTTCTGTTCTGGCTGCAACCATGCGTCTGTCTGTTTCACATTTTCCACCAGATTTCTGGTCTCCAGTAGCCTGTGGTAAAACACCATTCTTTGGACTTACAGGCTCAGATTTTATTAGTGTCCTGGTTTCCACAGAAGACATAGATTCTTCTTCAGAAGACTGAGGCTCCTCTTTAAGGTTTTCACTTTTAACTTTCATCTCCTCTAGAATAATACCTTTAGCATCTAGGAGCCTAGGTAGAGAGGTAAGAGGAGAAGCAGAAAGTGCTACTTGATATTGCTGTAGAAGTGGGGTAGAAGTCCTTGAATGAGCCATCTTACTTTGACTGTAGTTCCTCTGAGCTGCCATAAATGAGAGTTCAGGATCACGAAGAATGTGATAGTCTGTTCGGCTCACCCCGTGTTTGGCAGCACCAATAAGCAAATCCCTATCATGAGGGCCACATTCCCACCAGACTGGTAAATCTGGATTTGGATGGCAAAGCTTCAAGCGTTCAAACAACTGTGGATGTCGAAGGGCCTGTTCCCGTACTTTCCTTAGAAGTTCAATGCGATACAAAGTCCTAGAAGCACGTTCTTCTGTGATGGGCTGGATAAAAATATTTGGATCCACCAATTCTACATATTGAAACAAGGACAAAAATATTAATCTCAAAAATCCTTTATTTATAAATAAATCATTATAAATACATCTTTATATATTTATAACAATACCATTTCTAAAATGTGCCTCCATGCAATATCACTGTATAGTTTCCAGAATTTCTTTTCAGTGAGGAGAAATTCAGTGAGGATTTTGAAATTTTGAAATTTCAGTAAAAGCTTTAAAAAGGAGAAAGTTTTAAAAGTAAGTACTAAAAATCATGTAACATAAAATACTGGATGTTAATGTAAAACATAAGATTATTTTGGAAGTACATTAATAGAACTGGGAATTTTAAGAAATTCCCTATGAGCGATGCATTTAATAACATTTGTCTTAATAACACAAACACTTGCTCAAACTCACTTATAAATTAGAAGTGTTCAGGGTTGTCCAATCTTTTGGCTTCCCTGGGCTGCATTGTAAGAGGAATTGTATTGGGCCACATATAAAATACACTAACACTAACGATAGCTGATGAGCTTAAAAAAATTGCAAAAAAAAAAAAAAAACTCATAATATTTTAAGAAAGTTTACGAATTTGTGATGGGCCGCATTCAAAGCTGTCCTGGGCCACAGGTTGGACAAGCTTGTGTTAAGTGATACTCCATAAACAAATGTAAGCTGGCATATCTCAAACTGCAAAAGGTAAGAGGACATTGGAGTGAACTCACAGGGGCAACAAGGGCTTTCTCAAATTTCTAGGGAAACACAGCCACATCTTTCAAACACTGCACAAATTACTAGCTTGAGATAGTTCAGTTTCAACATGAACTCATGCTACCTCATACCTCTGATAAGGTTATGCCTTTGCAAAAGTGGGTTACTGACACTTGGGAAGTACTCAAGAAACATGGGCTTGCTGAAACAATGCAGGGACCAACATAAGCAGCTCCTAATGCCAAATATGGAACAATCTGAGCAATAAATAAAGACAATATTGGATTGTAACCTATAGAATAAATACCCATGAATCCATACTGATATGAATAAATAACTGATTAAATAGATGAGAGAGAATGAAACATCCTTTCTTACAGCAGAATTCCACAGAAAAAACTGTTGTAGACAAGATTTAGTATCTGGCAGATACTAAAAATCAATGGGTGAAAGTTTGAGAAGAAACAAGATTTGTGAAGCTTAAGATATTTGTTAATTACAGTAATTTTACACTGGCCAAATGCAGCATAAACTACCTTAACCACACAATTAAAGTCAACATCATCAGTAATAAGACATACTGACATCTCCAATCCCTTGATATTACATTCTGAGAACACATCATTTCTGTGGCACTCTTGCCAAAAATGCATGACCTCAATCCAGTCATGTAACAACATAAGACAAGCTCAAATTGAGGGATACATGGCTAAATAACTGATCAACACTTTTCAAAGGTATCAAAGTCATTAAAGATAAGGAACAGCTGAGAACCTGTTACGGATTGCAGGAAGCTAACGAGAAAGAAAAACCAAATACATTGTAGGATCTTGGAACAAAAAGGGACATTAGTTGAAAAACTGGTAAAATTAAAATAGGTATTTAGTTTAGTTAATGGCTTTAATGTTAATTTCTTGTTTTGATAATTATACTATAATTACTCTGGTAAAATGTTAACATTAAGAGAGGAAGGGCCAGGCGCAGTGGCTCATGCCTGCAATCCCAGTACTTTGGGAGGCCGAGGCGGGTGGATCATGAGGTCAGGAGATTGAGACCATCCTGGCTAACACGGTGAAACCCCGTCTCTACTAAAAACACAAAAATTAGCCGGGTGTGGTGGCAGCCACCTGTAGTCCCAGCTACTCGGGAGGCTGAGGCAGGAGAATGGCATGAACCCGGGGGCGGAGCTTGCAGTGAGCCGAGATCACGCCACTGCATACCAGCCTGGGCGACAGAGCGAGACTCCATCTCAAAAAAAAAAAAAAAAGAAAAAAAAGAAAGAGAGAGGAAGGGTGAGAGATAGATGGAAACTCCTCGTACATTTTTTGTACTCTTCTGTAATTTTAAAAGTAGTTCAAAACAAAAAAATTTGAAAAAAAATCAAGGACCATGCAAAAATCAATATGGAGCAGGAAACAAGGTGGGAAGAGCACAGTCTACTTCTAAGATTTGAAAAGTTATACAGTGCCCAACCAGTGCACACATTTGATTAATAATTGTGGCTACTTAAGAAACAGAAGTATTATTTTTTCTTTCAATATGTTATGTTTTTAAATAATTACTGGATTGTGAGGACATAAATACTTATTGAGTTGTCAGACCTAATTATTCATTAGACAGAAATGTTAGGTAATTCTTCTGGCCCTGAGTGCTGTGAAAAAAATTACTGAGACATTAAGGACACTGTAAAGTGTGGAAATTTGAGAAACGCTCTGAGTTAAGTAGAACCTCAACCTCACTCACATTTTTTTTTAACAAAGCATTAATATGAAATCTACTTTACATTTGATCTTAGCCAAAAGGCTAAGAGAAGCGATTGAAATTTATTTTAACATGACATAAAAGCAAAACATAATATTCTATAAAATACACCAATTATTGTCCCATTTATTTTATATTCTATTAATATGAATCATCATTTGAGATGTGAATAATGTTTTGTTTTGTTTTTTTTCTTTTTTTGAGACAGAGGCTTGCTCTGTTGCCCACGCTGGAGTGCAATGGTGCGATCTTGGCTCACTGCAACCTCCGCCTCCCAGGCTCAAGTGATTCTCGTGCCTCGACCTTCTGAATAGCTGGGATTATGGGTGCCTGCCACCATGCCTGGCTAATTTTTGTATTTTTAGTATAGACAAGGTTTCACCATGTTGCCCCACCTGCCTTGGCCTACCAAAATGTGGGGATTACAGGCGTGAGCCACCGCATCTGGCCTGAGATGTGAAAAATGTTATTGAACCAACAAAACAATGGGAAGAAATATCCAAGCAATGCATCTGTGCCTGCACTGGTTTATGAGGGATATCCAGCACTTGAACACTGCGGGTCTGCACTCTTCCTGCAAATGGAACCATGTTTGATTATTATAAAAGAACACTTACCTAGAATTTTCTCTCAATTTCTATTAACATAGAAATAGGTTTTTATTATCCATTAAAAAGTCTCCAAGCCATTTTTGCATTAATCAAGCTGACATCATAAAGCCATGCCACCTTCTAGCCTGAGTGATATGTTCATTTTTTAATGCTATGATTACATGCTTATTTAGGGTGATACAGTTCTGCTTCTATAATACCTATGTTAATCTTCCTTTTTTGAAAAAACCAAACTTGTGTAGCATTTTGTATCCATCAGTTGGAAGCAGGATGGCAATAAACACACTTAGGCAATTCTTTTTTTTTTTTTGAGACGGAGTCTCACCCTGTCACCTAGGCTGGAGTGCAATGGCACGATCTCAGCTCACTGCAATCTCCGCCTCCCAGGTTGAAGCGATTCTCCTGCCTCAGCCTCCCGAGTAGCTGGGATTACAGGTGCGTGCCACTACACCCGGCTAATTTTTTGTATCTTTAGTAGAGATGGGGTTTCGCCACGTTGGCCAGGCTGGTCTCGAACTCCTGACCTTGTGATCCGCCTGCCTCGGCCTCCCAAAGTGTTGGGATTACAGGCGTGAGCCACTGCGCTGGCCACACTGAGACAATTCTTAACAAAGACACCAACCATTTGAATTATCTTTTAACAACAGTTAAAATGACAAGGTGTTTGTCTTCTAATGTGCATTTTAAGCTAAAGTAAATGTAACACTTGTAACAAAGGTTGGTGTTGTAGGTTTCTGGCTTGTAGACAGACCTAAGCAAATTTTTATAGAGAGGATTTCCAGAGTGGTGGCTGTTGTGAGGCAAGTGATGTTACTTACTATTTGTGTGCTCTCCACTAGAAAGCTATGGAATGGGAAGCCCAGGACCAAATGTAAGCTGAAAGCTTCTTTTTTCTCTTCAACCTGCTTGTCCACGACCAGAGAGAAAGCCTGGTGTAGCCTGGACACACAGTGTATGCACCAGAAAAAGGAGTTTCCTCAGGAACTGGCCATGGAGGCCCTCGATCTTCTTTGAAATGTCACTCAAAAGGAAGCTCAATTTTGACACATTGTTTTCAATGAAGCCAATCATCTCCAGCTTTTGGAGGGTTAATAGCTGCTGAGGAGGGTATATGACCTGGCACTTGACCAGTTCTTCCAAACAGAAAACGTAAATTTTGAAGATGGCTGCTGCAGAGCGCAGACTGATATACTGCTTGATATCAGACCTGTCCACAAAGGCCATGTCAATCTTCACGGTGATGTTGGAAGTAGCTGGAATCACTACATTAAAATGCCTTTTAATCTGATTAATTTGGGTCAAGACAGCGTTGACCATGCCAATGGCACCCGATGGCTTTCATTATGGGTGGCTGTGAGACTTTCTATCTCATCAATCAGTGAAAATGCCAGAGCATCTTTATAATCAATCAAATCCTGAATCTTCTGGAACGTCTTAGTTATCAGCTTGTCAATTTCGGAAAACCGTTTAGAAAAGAGGTTAGGGCTATTTATTTCAATTAATTGGCCATACCAATACCTGCTTGAAAGTTTAATAGTCAATTTGTGGGCTAATGCTTTACATAGGAATGTTTTTCCAGTTCCTGGAGGACCCTGTAGCAGCACCACCTGGTTCCAGGTGCTGAGGCTGCTGTTGACATTCTTGTCTGAAAATGATAAGGTTGTAATCACATAATCAAGGTGTGATTTGATTTCCACATCAGACACTAGGCTGTTCCAAAGCCCATGGAATTTGGCTGTAGGCAGAACCCAGTGATTTGCCACAATTATATCTTCTGTCTCTTCCTCCAAATTTTCACTGCTAGGGCCACCTTCATTCTGCTGGAAGATGTGAAGTGCAATAGTGCACACACTCATCAATGAGCTATGGGGTCTTTAACTTTTAATTCTGTGTCGACAATAGAATCCCGCATGTTCCTGGACAGAAAGGGTTCACCAAACTCAGTCCATGTGTAGTCACCAAACACAGTACCATATGTTTGGTGAGTAGCTTTCTGTTTATTTATTTTAGGGACAAGGTCTTGCTCTGTTGCTCGAGATCAAGCGCAGTGGTGTCATCATGGGTCACTGCAGCCTCGACCTCCTGGCTCCTGTTCCTGGGTCCTGGGTCCTGCCTTCGCCTCTCAAGTAGCCAGGACCACAGCCATACACCACTACACGTGGCTGTTTTTTTATTTTTGTAGAGATGGGGTCTCCCTATGTTGCCCAGGCTTGTCTCAAACTCCTGGGCTCAAGTGATCCTCCTACCTTGGCCTCCCAAAGTGCTGGGATTACAGGCATGAGCCATTGTGCCCAGCCTGGTATCTTTCTAACACTCAGCTTTATGTCCTTTTTTTTTTTTTTGTAGTGCTGCCTCTGTGCTGATGCACCTCCATGTGGACTGTCCGCAACTTGGCCACGCAGGGCAGTGCCTGCTTTGAGTTGCTCATGGCCTTCCCCATGGTGCCACTGGAAGGAGTGGGGTCCTGGCCTGCGCCTGGCCACTGCCGCCTCATGCTCCTGCCTCCAATATCCTTACTCACATTTCTGAGGAAGCCCTACATTTTCAATGATTATTTAGTAGTTAGCTCTTTCCCTTTTAAAACTAGAATCAAAAGTGATGAATATATTCCTATCACTATATTATTGATGGGAATTAAGAAAATTTTTAAAAAATGAGGGCCTCTTGCCAACTACAAATGACACATTATTTTGCTTTAGCTGTCATTTTAACCTCATTTATGGTTTTCCAGTAGACCTGAAAACAGACTGAAATCTACTCTGAATTACCTAGTAATCAAGTGATTGGCTACTCCATTCAGTGAACTGACAAAAAATCTGTTAGGAAATACATTTAAAACAAGTAAGGAAATCTTTTTACTATAAAACAGGAATAGCAGGCCATTGGGTTTAGCAGTGAGAAATCATATACAACAAAGAATGGAGACAACTGTTCATGACATAGCATTACTGAGAGGAACTGTTGACAGGATGAGCTATGTCTCTGGGCTTTGAAGACAATGAAATGCATCCCAGAACAATTCCTTAGTTGAGTTGCATCAATGCCTCTGCTTAGTAGTCTTTTGTGAAGATGGCCCTGGGAGATCTTTTCTAGAAAATTCTTTAAAATGTCTTATGAGTGGGGGCTTCATTCCTTGCAAAATTATTCAGGTAAATAAACCCTCTAGCACAATTCCTATAAGATGGACTGAAAATATAGGTTAGTTCTGTTTAACAAAAGCAATCCTTTATCTTCCACCACCTCCTAATCATAAATCTATCACTAAACTCTACCTGTTTTCTTAAGACTCAGTGTATACCTTTATTCTCTTTAGATCTCGTTTTAATAGCAGGATTAACAAATACGCGATCTTTAAGCTAGTTTATTTATAATTCTAAAAAATTACTGACAAGTTGAATTAGATAGTATTGAAATTTCACATAAAAGAGACAAATTGGAAATTTCCGAATTTTAGTGATTTTTGCTTCTTTGACCGAAACCAGGAAAAAGAAATTTTATACATACCTTCTTTGGAAGGAAGACGACAAACCCTCCGACACATGGACATGAATGCGTACAAATATTTTTCCAAACTATCATCAGTTTTCTTATGTAGCCTAGCCATAGCTCTAAATTTTGTCCAATCAAATTGGCCTCTGTCAGGGTCAAAAACCACTCCAAATGTAGATACAACCCTATAAAAGTCAGCTTCTTCTCTTCTTGTCCATCTATTTTGAGTCAGATTAAAGAAAAAAACCACACTAGTCACTAAAATTAATATTAATACTAAATATAATGACTATAATACAAACTTAAAACATTTCAAGTACCTAACACTATAGGATTAAATACAAGCTTGCTGCCTTGTAAAACATTTTTAAATGCTAGTTAACTCATCTATCCAACCATACTTTTTTTTAGAAAAATTTACTTTTAATGGGTCGGGCGCGGTGGCTCATGCCTGTAATCCCAGCACTTTGGGAGGCCGAGGCGGGCGGATCGCAAGGTCAGGAGATAGAGACCATACTGGCTAACATGGTGAAACCCCGTCTCTATTAAAAAATACAAAAATAAAATTAGCTGGGCATGGTGGCGGGCGCCTGTAGTCCCAGCTGCTCAGGAGGCTGAGGCAGGAGAATGGCGTGAACCCAGGAGGTGGAGCTTGCAGTGAGCCGAGATTGTGCCACTGCACTCTAGCCTGGGCGACAGAGCGAGACTCTGTCTCAAAAAAAAAAAAAAAAAAAAAAAATTTACTTTTAATAGTTAAGGACAGCCTCAGGAGGTCCTGATGACATGTGTCCCCAAACATACTTTTAAAAGTATACACTATTCCTTCAGACAATAATGGTGTTTTGTATTTTTGCTATGTGAGAAAATCAGCACAGGATACAAAATCATGTAAGATGATCCTGCCCTTCAGGAAAAAGATAAAATCAAACACATTTATAGTATAAGGTAATACCTTATATTTGTATGAGTTAAAGAAACCAAAAGTTTCAGGAGAGCATAGAAGATAGAAGGATCAGTTCAGACTTGACAATCAAGAAAGGCATCACAGAGTAAGTGGCATTTCAGATGGGACGAGGCTAAGGTTAGGGAAAGTGAGGAAGAAAGCACAGAGTAAGCAAAGAGGGAGTGGTCCATATTGGAGGGGAAAGATGAGTATTCCAGATTGACAAGGTTATGGCTTATACTGGAGACAAAGCCATATAGGGTTTGGGTCAGATTATGAAATGCTCTAAAGGCCTGGGTAAAAGTAATCTCTTTCACTTGAAAGCTCCTGATGCTTTGAGATGGTAATATAATCATCATGCACCATAGATCTGCAAACCTTAGTGCAGGTGTAGAACCCTGTCCTTGCTTAACTCACAGGATTATTGTGTAAATTAGAAAAAACATATGGGACAGGCCTTTGAAAAATGTGAATGGGCCATTTTTATCATAGTGATACATTAAGAAGATTAATGTAATTATGATGTAAAAATAGTTAGCTTGGGAAACCCAAGTCATTAAATCTGGGTAATAAGAATAAAAATGGGAAAAACGATTAATTGAAAGACTACACAGGACACAAAAAATATGACAGAGTGCCCATCCCCAAGAAGATACAACTGAGAAAGATAGAAAGGAAAAGATGAATTTCATTACAATATCTTATATTATTGTGACAAACGAGTAGTTTACTTAGATAAGTTGCTATGTGAGTACAAAAAATAGAATACTGTGAGCTAGACTGGTTAAAAAAATTAATAGAAGAGGCCGAGTGCAGTGGCTCATGCCTGTAATCCCAGCACTTTGGGAGGCTGAGGCAGACGGACCACTTGAGGTCAGGAATTCAAGACAAGCCTGGCCAACATGGTGAAACCCAGTGTCTACTAAATATACAAAAATTAGCGAGGCATGGTGATGCACACCTGTAGTGCCAGCCACTCAGGAGGCCAAGGCAGGAGAATTGCTTGAACCCCGGAGGCAGAGGCTGCAGCGAGCCAAGATTGTGCCACTGTACTCCAGCTTGGGTGACAGAGGGAGACTCCGTCTCAAGAAAGAAAAAAAATTATTAGAGGAAATAGGCCATATGCTGAGCTCTGAGGGATGGGCTAAGTGTGAAATAAACAGGTAGAAAGGGTGTTCCAGGTGATAGAAACAATATAGGCTAGGGTATGAAGTCAAAAATAAGTAGGGCACTCTGGCTGAGGGAAAAGAAGTGGATAAAGTTTAGAAATGCATGTTAAAACCTAAAATGAAGAGACCTTCAAACTTAGGCTTAAGAACTTAACACTTTTTACCTATACTAAATAAGGAGCCATCAAATGTTATGATAAAACTAATATTTTAGGAAGATTAATCCAGATTCAACAGATGGAGGGAAAATTTGTAGTAGATTAAAGATGGTCACAAATGCTTTGCCACTCTTTCCATTAACGGGTAGAATCTATTTCCCTTTCCCCTAAATCTGGGCTGGCCTTGTGGCTTTTTCTGACCAACAGAGGGTGGCAAAAGTGACATTTTGTAACTACTGAGACTGGGTCATAAGAAATCTGCAGCTTCTGCCTTTCTACTTGGAATGGTCCCTCTTGGGATCTGAGCTCCCAGCTGGCAGCTAGCACCAACTGTTAGCCGTATGAATGAGGCAACTGTGGCTCTTCTAGGTATCTCAGAAACCCAGCCAACAGCATACAAAGCAGAAGCAGCACCTGGGTCAACTCACAGAATTGGGAGAAATAAAAAATTAATGCTGTTTTAAAGCATTGTGTTTTGGGGTAGTTTGTTATGCAACAATAGATAACAAAAACAGTTCATTTACAGAGGCGGTAGTATTTGAAAATTATGACTAAGATAGCTAAAATCTTAAGTGTCAGACTAAATTTTATGATCACTGTGCTGCAAATGAAACAACAAAAGAACAATATATCTTCCAGAGGACATCCAAGGACCCGGGTAACAAGGAAGTCAGGTTATGCCAAAGATAGCTATTCTTTTCCATGTACTCTATTCCTTTTAAGAAGTTAAAGCTTGTGGAATGAGAGAAGTTTGCCTGTCTTTTTAATAAGGTCGCTTGCGATTTGTTCCCTTTGACTTCAGTAGTTCCAAGGATTTGTCTTCTGAATAAAGGAACATATGCTTTCCATACGTTTTTATATTTCATAAAAGTCTGGATGTAAAATGTAAAATATGATAGAATGGAATTTAATTAACATAAACTTTTGTTCTACTGATAATTCTTTTTTTTTTTCTTTTGAGACGGTCTCACTCTGTCACTCAGGCTGGAGTTCAGTGGTATGATACTGGCTCACTGCAACCTCTGCCTCCTGGGATCAAGCGATTCTCATGCCTCAGCCTCCCAAGTAGCTGGGATTAAAGGTGCGTACCACACCTGGCTAATTTTTGTATTTTTAGTAGAGATGGGGTTTTGCCATGTTAGCGAGGCTGGTCTCGAACTCCTGGCCTCAAGTGATTCACCCACCTCGGCCTCCCAAAGTGCTGGGATTACAGGTGTGAGCCATGGCGCCCGGCCAGTGATTCAATTCATGAGTTTGCTCTATGCCTTCACTTTTTTGTTTCTACTTTTTGAGACCGTCTTGCTCTGTCACTTAGGCTGCAATGCAGTGGTACAATCACATCTCACTGCAGCACGGACCTTCTGGGCTCAGGTGATACTCCCACTTTAGTCTCCCGAGTGGCTGGGACCACAGGCATGCGCCACCACACCTGGCTAATTTTTGCATTTTTTGTAGAGATGAGGGTCTTGCTTTGTTGCCAGGGCTGGTCTCGAAATCCTGAGCTCAAGCACTCTTCCCACCTCGGCCTCCCAAAGTGCTGGGATTATAGGCATTAGCCACTGTGCCCAGTTATTTATTTATTTTTTTAAATACCTCAGTGTTCCTAAACATGACAAAAAAAATGATTACAGTATGGTTAGTCAACTATAAGACACAATAATCTTTATAAGTTTTACCACACTCATACATATATAAATGTGTGAGTATATGTGTGTATGTGCACAAAGCAGTTTGCTTTGACCAACATTCTATGTATGTTTTCCACAAAGCGTGATAATTGTACCCAGACAGGCTTTAGAATGAACAGCTACATTTAGACAATACATTAAAAATTTAGTGTTATTGTCTTACCTTTGCTGTCTTTCTATCTTGGCTGCCATTTTAGGATTAAGAGTGGCTTCCTCATAAATAGGCTGCATTACACTGGTAGGCACCGAGAAAGTCGGTTGTATCTGCTGAATTTGTCTGTTTTTATTAGTACGCTGGTATGCAGTGATGAGACGCCTCAAACGTGTGGTTAAAGCTGATTGAGTAGGCCAATATACTTTATCACCCTCCATCAGTTGACCATCTATAGTTAAATAAGTAATAGTAATAATAACTAAACAGATACTGTATGAAGCTCACAAAAGCAGCAACTTTACTTTAAAAATTTTTAATTCAATCTATGTGGGGAAAAAAAAACATATTTCTCATCCTAAAAGCTTCTTTTAACAATAGCTATAAGAAACATTACAACAAACTTTAAGAGCAGTTCAAAGTAGGTACAATACAGTGGAATAAAGATTTGCACAGCAAATACAACTCTTGCATGTCTAGGTATATATCACACTGGCTGGCAAATACTCAAGGCTTTAACTTAAATAAACTAAAAGCCAAACTGAATCCATGAGAGGCTGAATATTGTAAACGCTTCTAATGGAAGCCTTCTGTATTAAGTTTATCTCAGTTTAATTAGAATCAAAATATTTTAAGTCACTGGGAAGAAACATTTTCGAAGTTCAAGATGACAATGATGTAACTTTTAAGTTTTATCCACCTAGTAAGTATAGGATCTAATGCTCTATTTCTAAGGTGTAATACTATAATTATCTATACCATAATCAAGCTGTAGTCATTCATACTAAACAAAAACTACTTTTTCATTCCTAGTTGAACTATGGCAGGGTGAGGCACTGTTCCTCTGGGATGCTGGTGGGAGTGAGTGTACTCTTGTGACAGTGCATTTCTATCTTGATATCAGAAGGAAGTAGAAGCAAGACCTGGCACAGAAAAGCTTTGTAGAAACTAGGTGATAAAGAATGGCTCTTAATGTACACATAGAATGAAAAAGAAGTTGAATATATTGGATCAACACTTTAATGATGAAATCTCACATACAAGTTTAATAGTCAAGTCATAATGTCATCAAAACCTATGTTCTATAAAAGCTCAGTGAGTCACTGCCTGAAGATTCATAACCACTAAAAGTAGTTAAATTCCCAGTCAACTAGTATGTCCTATAACGATTACAATGGCAGTCAATAAAAATTTTTATATATGAAACATTATAAAAGTGTAATAGTTTACTGATCTCATGGTATGATTAGAATGTGAATTTACAATAATACTAAGTACAGAAGTACGTGCAATTTACCTCCATCTGCTATAACAAGATCTCCTGGTGAGGAAACATCATCCTTTTAAAAGAAAATAGAAACTTGTCACAGGGTAATTGGGTCAAGAGATATATAAAAAAAGAAAAGAGAATCAAACTTCTTTATAACAGAGAGCTTTTCTCCCCCAATGGAATGTTAAATAATTAATTTAGCAAAAATAAAACTTTCAACTGCTTATTCTCAATTCTCATCCTTTCACACTTCTCTATTGCTTTTGACAATTAGACAGTCATTATTTACTAAAAGTATTTCCTTTTCTATGATTACTGTTAAGCTAGTTTCTTTTCCTCCAACCTTCCTCTAACTATGGGTATGCCCTAGGTTTTATTGCTAACTAAGTGTGTTTTTTTCCCCTTTCTTATACCAACTCTTAGATAACTTATTCATTTTCATATCTGGTTATTAGGTAACCTACAAATCTTTTCCTTTTTAGCTTTAAGCAGTTTGCTTGTGCTGAAGATTCAGTTTTTGTCAACAGAGCATCTTTAATTAGCTATTCCAATATTACCTTATATTCATAACTTTAGCAATTTTATATCAATGACTACTAGTTTCTATTGTTGTTTTAAAAAAGCCTGAAGTTAGAATCATAATTCCTTTGTGGGTATCTCTTTTTCTCTGGTTGCTTTTAATATCTTCTCTTTGTTTGGTGTATCTTCAATTTCACCATGATGTTTCTTGGAGTGGACTTAGTTTTATTTATCCTGCCAAGACTTATTTTATTTCTTGAAACTGAGGATTCATGTATTCATAACATCTGAAAAATTCTCAGCTGCTATCTCTTCATAGTGCTTCTTTCTTATTGTCTCTAGTCTCTCCTTCTGGAATACCTACTCGATACATGCCAGATGTTATCATGCTATCCTCCTTGTTTCTAAATTTTTTAATACATATTCCACTGTGGTGGTTATTGATTTCAGTCTCTTTGCTCCAAATTTATTGCCTTTCATATTTTTCTTTTGTTTTTCGAGACAGGGTCTCACTGTGTTGTCCAGGCTGGAGTGCAGTGGCGTGAACACACCTCACTGCAGCCTCAACCTTTCGGGCTCAAGCGATCCTCCTGCTTCAGCCTCCTGAGTAGCTGGGACTACAAGCAAATGTCATCTTTTTTTTATTTGTTGTAGGGATGCAGTCTCACTGTGTTGCCCAGGCTGGCCTTGAACTCCTGGGCTCAAGCAATCTCTGTTCCTTGGCCTCCCAAAGTGCTGGATTACAGGCATGAGCCACTGCATCCAGCTCCTCTCATACTTTTTTTTTTTTGCCTGCTCTAAGAAAATAGTTAAACAGCTCTTTAAATAGTTTTTCCTCTGTCAGTCAGCATGATATAAAGCTTTGTTAGTACAGCAAACCAGAGAGACACTGTAGAGGAAAAGGGTTTTACGTCCTAATTCTGGTGATCACCTCCATTGCTTAGCTCCCATAGCAAGGCCACTTCCCCAGTACCCAGCTCCCACAATTTGAGCAGTTTCTTTTTTTTGAGACAGGTCTCCCTCTATCACCCAGGAGTGCAGTGGCACAATCTCAGCTCACTGCAACCTCCGCCTCCTGGCTTCAAGTGATTCTCCTGCCTCAGCCTCCCAAGTAGCTGGGATTACAGGTACATGCCACCATGCCTGGCTAATTTTTGTATATTTAGTAGAGATTGGGTTTCACCATGTTGGCCAGGCTGGTCTTGAACTCCTGAACTCAAATGATCCACCCACCTTGGCCTCCCAAAGTGCTGGGATTACAGGCATGAGCCACTGTGCCTGGTCAATTTGAGCAGTTTCTTTAGCACTCTTGGTCAGCAGCTTTTCCCAGTAACCTCCCTCTTGAGTGGTTTTGTGAGTGAAGTGCTTCCAGTGAGACACTTTCCCAGGAAAATCTTCCTTGGCAACCTTACAGGGCAGATTTACAGCCAGTTTCAACGGGTAGCTTTTTAGCAACTTTTCTGCCATCCAGTGAGACATGGCCATATCCTCCTACCAAAGTCTGGATCTTGGCACTGATAGGGATGGGACTCTTCCTTGGGAGCTTTATCTGAGCCCTAGGAGTGGTAGATGCTGCTTTTATATGCTATTCCTATATTCTTTAATGTAGTCTTTATTTTTTACTAATCTATTACTATAGTATAATTAATAATTCTTTACATTATACATTTCCTGTTCAAATGACTATTTGGGTTATCTCTCCTGATTGGTCCAGACGAATCCATTATGCTATACTGGATAATTTCCTCACATCTGTTTTCCAAATCATTTCTCCCTTTATGAACTGTGTCTTATCTGCTTTTCCAGGAGAATGTTTAACCTGTTTGTTGACTTTTACATATCAATAAATGTATTTTCCACATTTTTCTTTCTCTCTCTCTTTTTTTAGAGATGGGGTCCCATTATATTGCTCAGGTTGGTCTTGAACTCCTGGGCTCAAGTGATCCTCCCACCTTACCCTCCAAAGTGCTGGGATTACAGGCGTGAGCCACACTGCCCTCAGCCTTTTCCCACTTTTAAAGTTAAATATCATCTTTTTCACATCTTTCTAGTATTTTAAAATCATATCTTGTCTTTTGTTCCTGGTTCTTTCTTTAATGTCTTTAATCATTTACAAATTTACTTTAAAAAATTTCAATAGGAATTTTTTTATTTCAGTAGATACATCAGAAATTCTCAGGGGTCTAATCTTACTCTTTATTGCATGCTAACATTCACTCATGGTAAATGGTTTCTCATATATTTTTAAACTTGGGGTTTTTACTTCATTTTATGCAGGGCTTCATCTTCGGGACTCGTGCATAGTCAGGGTTGAACTGTTTCTTACAGGTGCTTTTTGTTTTTACCAGGCACCCTAGATATATTACCAGTAAAGGACTGATCCTTTTTTATATTACACTGAGGGCTCTTGGACCACACAGATAAAGTAAAAGACAAATCACGAACTCAAGAGAAGGTGGGTCTATGGTTACAAATTCTCAAGGGAAACAATAATTTTCTTACCCAAAGTCCGTGATGAGATAAATTTCCTTGCTATTTCTCCGTGCTGTTTGTCAGTAATTACTGGCCTTTGAGACTCTTGACCTCATATAGGATTTTGGTTTTCATTGCCCACACACTGGAGCAAGCCTTGTCTCATGCCCTCATCAAGGCATCAAGCCCCTTAGCTACCAAGTCCAGCAAATCCTACCTGACAGCTTTAGCGTCATTTAGCCTTTTACCACACTCTCATAAATATTAGACATTCCTCATCTCTTTTAAAATCCTTTTCCCCACTCTACAGATTATTTTCTGTACTTTCATCCAACTCTTCTTCCTTTTGACATTCTACAAACAGAGCACTGAGAACTATGCTTTGGCAACTCAGAATTCCTTGATGCTCTACCCTCTATCTCAAACCTCTTCATGTAGGTATAGTTTCTAACTCTTGCAGTATATCTTTAGTATCTAGTTCTCACTCTCCTTTGGGATTTTGCCCTTGGACACTGTGTTTCTTAGCTCTAAGAAGTAGAGCAGGTGGGCAAGCCCCATTGCATCCACATGTCCAAGCCAGCCCCCATCTTGTCTAAAAGGGGAGATCAGGTGAATTCTGAGTGATTATTTGAGATGTTTGTCAACCCAAGTTGATCACTTACTTAGCTAATCTGAGGAACAGAAGAATTATGTATAATGAAAACAAAATATAATGCAAAAGAAAAAGCAAACACAAGAAACCAAAGAATACCTAAAATTGAGGATTTAAAAATATGATCCAATGCATACCTCTATATCATCTTTAAAGATGGCTGGGGCAGGTTTGTATTCTGGATCTTCCACATCCCTGTTAAAATACAAACAAATGCTATAATTACTGTAATGGACTTAAGATTTCACTTGATAGGACAAAGTCTTGTTGGAGGGTTTTAGTTTGTTTTAAAAGTCAGACTGACGTCTCTTCTCTAGCCAGAAGAGCCCAAGACACAGCAGGAAGGCTGTTATAAAGCAAATAGGGAGAAAGCTAGTTCTAATGTACCCTTACTCACAAGTTCACTTTTATTTTTATTTTTTTTGAGACGGAGTTTCACTCTTGTCGCCCAGGCCGGAGTGCGGTGGCACAATCTCAGCTCACTGCAACCTCCACCTCCCGGGTTCAAGAGATTCTCCTGCCTCAGCCTCCCGAGTAGCTGGGACTACAGGTACATGCCACCACACCTGGCTAATTCTGTATCTTTAGTAGAGACGGGGTTTCACCATGTTGGCCAGGCTGGTCTCGAACTCCTGACCTCAAATGATCCACCTGCCTTGGCCTCCCAAAGTGCTGGGATTACAGGCGTGAGCAAGTGCATCCAGCCGCGAGTTCGCTTTTAAATGCATTATTATTAACCACAAAGTGTTCCTTACTTTTCTCTTTGGGTAAGAAAAGACAGATTACATAAGGCCTTAAAACAGGTACAGTTGGCCTTTCGTTATGTGTGGGTTTCATATCTATAAATTCAACCAATTTCAGTTTGAAAATATGCGAAAAAAGCTGGTCCATGATGGCTCACACCTATAATCTCCGCACTTTGGGAAGCCAAGGCTAAGGTGGAAGATCACTTGGGCCCAGGAGTTCAAGACCAGCATGTGCAACACAGGGAGACCTCATCTCTACAAAAAATAAAATACAAGAAAATTAGCTGGGCATGGTGGCATGTGCCTGTGGTCCCAGATACTCAGGAGACTAAGTGGGAGGATCACTAGAGCCTGGGAGGTCAAGGCTGCAGTAAGACATGATTGTGCCATTGCATTCCAGCCTAGATGACAGAGCAAGACCCTGTCTCAAGAAAATATCTGGAAAAAAATGGCATCTGTACTGAACATGTACAGACTTTTTTTTTTGTCATTACTCCCTTAACAATTCAGTATAGCAACTATTTACATAGCATACAGCATATATATTGTACTATGAATTATAAATAATCTAAAGATAGTTTAAAGCATACGGGAGAATGTGCATAGGTTAAATGCAAATCCTATGCAATTTTATATATAGGACTAGAGCATCCTTGGATTTTGGTATCTGCAGGGTGTCCTGAATACCAAAATCCCCCATGGATATTGAGGGATGACTATGTAATAAATGTCATCATATGTCTCATCAACTATAACATTCTTGCCTTTTTCTCCCCCTATGCCCCTAGAAGTTTATGAACTCAGTGGCCATGATATAGCTGTTAAAATGAAAGAAATGAAAAACTCATCAAAAGAATGGGTGTGGGGCAGGTCCAACCTCTTCCTCGATCACATTCTGTTGGATAAGTGCTAACCTATTAGGGTATCTTTAGCTCTTTCAGATTGTAAACTCCAATTCCCTTACTGCTACCTCATTTAAAGATAAATAGTGTGACATAGAATATGCTGATATTGAATAGAAGAGAGATATATAGAAAATTCATGACTCTGAAACACACATACCCATCCATATAATCATTCGCTCTCTGTTCAGCAGCAACTGCTTTCTCATCAGGTTTTCCCACTCTTTCCAAGAAGCATAATGCTGGGTCTGCTCGAATAGTGTTATATTTTTCATATCCTGAAAACATCACCAATTACAAAAGTAAAAAAGATAAAAAGAAGAAAGGTGTATACATATAAGCATTCCTCGTATTTACAGTGGATGATATTTCTGGACTAAAGGGATAATACATTAAAATGATATAGGTTAAGTATGTTTTCTAGAAATTATCACAAACATTAAATGATCTGGTAATAGATATCTACTAAAGTAAAATTTCAGTTACATTTATCAGTTAATATGAGAAATAGGATAAACTGATCATACCCACACACAAACACACAAACATATCTCACATGAGAACTCTTCCTGAGAGAGGAAGTTGTCTTAGATTTACATCCAGGAAGGGTAGGTTACACATGCCACCCTCCCACGAGGTAATGTGGTGACTGACAGACATAGTTTGGTAGTGTATGCTTTTAATTCTGTATATATAACATAGATGTTACTGGAATAAAGCTGTAAGTGGAAATCAATGAACTGAGAACTGACAGAACTGCCTTATACATAGAAGGGGATCTCACCTACCTTACTTCTTACTTACCATGTTTAAAAACTCCAATAAGGAGTGACTTATCAGCATCAAAATCCCACCACTCAGCAGGAACTTCTGAGTGGTCTGGTTCTGGTACCCAAACATCAATGTCACTTTAAAAAAATCATAATATGGCATTATGAATTATTATAAATGAGTCAAAAAGGAGGCAAAATTTTACCTAGCTTTTAAAGCACTGTGGCTTTCAAGAGAGAGCTTAGGATTTCATTATTTTTTAATCCTTCATAATTGCCACCAATTAAAATTACGAAATTGTGCAATAACAAAGATACCATAAAATAAACGAACATTGTTAAGCTCAAGAGAAGAAATAAGTTTCAACAATGTTACTAAACAATTTTCTTAAAGAATCATATTCTTTCACTGATTTTCTTTATTTAGAGACAAAGGGTTCTATTGGAAGTAGAGACTATGTCAGCCAACAACTTGGCAATAATCATCTGGTTCAATTATTTCATTTCGCACATGAGAAAACTGAGGCCCTAAAAGGGTAAATGAATTGTTTTAGGCTGCAGAACAAGTAATAGCTCCTCTAGACCACTATTGCTAAGAAAACCACACTGAAAATGCCCTGTAATAGCAAATTTTTGATTCATAATTTGATTGAAACACTCAAGTGTAGGCCAAACACAGTGGCTCATGTATGTAATCCCAACACTTTAGGGGGCAGAGGCGGGTAGATCACTTGAACCCAGGAGTACAAGACCAGCCTGGGCAACGTGGCAAAACCCCATCTCCACTAAAAATACAAAAAATTAGCTGGGCGTGGTGGTGCACACCTGTAGTCTCAGCTACTTGGGAGGCTGAGGTGGGAAAATCTCCTGAGCCTGGGAAGTTGGGGTGACAGCAAACCAAGATCGTGTTGCTGCACTCCAACCCAGGCCGCGGGAATGAGACCCTGTCTCGAAAAACAAAAAACACTCAAATGCTGTTTTGATGTTGTAAATAAATAATAGAATGCCATAAAATCACAATAGATTACTAAAAAGTAAAATAATAAACCCATAATGATTTGATTTTGTAGATTGACTGATTTTATAAGTAACAAATAACTACTAGAATGGGCAATTTTGCAACTATAATTTTCTTATTCTTTGCTCGTCACTTGAAATTATTATTTTCCCAGAAAGCTTTGGCAAGTTACATATATAACATGTCTAAAAACATGTCATGTATAGAAGGACTGAAATGTTCACTTCTTTACCACAGTGATTCAAGTCATTTTCTTTAGCACAGAATACAGTTAATATCTGACAATGATTAAGTATCAATTTATATACACACAACTATATATTTATATATACATACACAAATATGTATATTATATATATATATACACACACACACATTTTCTTATATTTGACAATGGATAGAGATTGAACAGGATAAATTACTACAAAAAGTTGAATAGCTGAGAATTTCTCTATTTGGTATTCATAAATTATCAACTTTCAAATAACCAGAGATATAAAACAATATAAATTATACAAAGTAGAATTTCATCTGTCTTGGCATCATTATTTCACAAATTAGTTAACAAAGACCTATAAGAAATGGGGGATTTCCTATTGACAAGTTCTGTGGGAAAAGTTAGATTCTAAGTTGGCTGTCTTTGGAAACTCAAATTTTTATATAAAAATAAACAAACAAGTGATCGACATGTTCCTAGGACAAGAACCCAGTATGTAATCAAAATATAGGTGAGATAGAAGACAATGGCAGTGAAAAGGAAATACTTATACCTTTTATAATTAAAAAAATGGAAACAAATTTATTTGTCACAAATTTTTAACTCAAGAAGCATAAGGAAGTGGATGAAGAGATCTTTCTGTAGATTCTTGAACGAATTTGTCAGCACTCGAAATGAACACCTTATTATATCTAATTTTGCTTTAAAACAAAAGGGTCACAATTGACATTTTTTAGCTCAGTTTAGAAAAATAGAGAAAAAGGAGGAATAATTTTCTTGTAATATGGAAAAAGTTAAAAAAGAAATGAGAAATACAGTAAAAAGAGATATTTATTTTTGAACGAGTTATTAAGTAGGATTAAACAAAGCATTAGCCCTGAAATATAAAGGAAACAGGAAAGAACACTGGAAACAGAATCCCAGAGGAGAAAAAAAGTGGGTCAGATAGCTCCCTTTGCCAACCATAAGATGGCACTCTAAGCTCAAAACATTGTGATTACCATCTGAGGTGGAAGGTTTTCCTGCTTGTAAAGAGGAAAAGGCAATCAGCATACAAAACTCATGTTTCAAATGTAAGTGCCATAAGCACATTAGGTGTTGCTGATTTCTGTTTTTAAAGACTAACTTGTGTCATCTCTTGCATAAAGCCTCCTTTAACTTCCCCAGGGTAGATCATTCATTCAAAATATATTTAAACAGAATTCACTACATGCCAATAATGGCAATAATAAATTAAGATAGTCATGCACATGCCCTTGTAAAGATGGACATGCAATACTGTGTGATGAGTGCTGTGGCAGGGTACTCTGGTTATGTGCCTAACCCAGATCTGAGAGGTTATGAAAGGCTGAGTCAATGTTGGCTGAGCAGGAAGAGGAAGAGAATGGAAAAAAGGAGGAAAGAATGTTCCAACAATAATGCAAAGGCCTGGAGAGAAGAGTAACTAATCATGGCCCATTGGAGAAATGTGGATCTAAAGTTCAGAAGAGAGACATGGGCTACAGATAGGGATTTGGAAGACATAAGCATAGAGACAAAAATTGAAGCCACAAAGATGAGAACACCCAAGAAGAGTAAGTGACGAGAAGGCCTATGTGAAGATTCTTTGACCTCTAAGAGACAGAAAACATGCCTGAAAAGCAGCAAGCAGAAAGGTAAAAAGAAAAACCACAGGAGAATGGTATCACAGAAGCATTTTAAAAAGAAGGAAGTGGTCAACAAAGGTAAAGTAAGGTAAGCACTATGGTATATCCATCAAATTTGGCAGCAAGAATATCAGCGAACATCTGGGGTGAGGAGGTAGAAGCTGCATTGTGGTAGATTGCATAGTGAATGGAAGGGAAGAAAAAGAAGACAACAAACATAGATGCTTCTTTCTTTTCTGTTTTTTTGAGACAGTGTCTCATTCTGTCACCCAGGCTGGTGTGCAGTGGTGCAATCACAGCTCACTGCAGCCTTGACCTCTCTGGGCTTATGTGATCCTCCCACCTCTGCCTCCAGAGTAGCTGGGACTACAGGCATGCACTACCGCACCTAGCCAATTTTTCTACTTTTTGTAGAGACAGGGTTTCGCCATGTTGCCAAGGCTCATCTCAAACTCCCGGGCTCAACTGATCCACTTGCCACGGCCTTAAGTGCTGGGATTACAGGACTGGTCACTGTGAACCCCTTACAGATGCTTCCTAACATAAATTTGGCAGTGAAATCAAGGAGAGTAATAATATGGTAGTTTGAAGATATTTTGGGTCCAAAAGCATTAAGTGTTGTTGTGTGCACGCATGTGTGTATGTGTAAGTTAAGGTGACAGAGATGTAAACATGTTAAAATCCAAATGAGAAGGAAAAGGGGGAAAATTACTGAAAGAGGAAAAAGAAGGTACAATCCACAGAGAGCAGTCCCTGGGAAAATTACAAGTGGATCAGATCCAGTCAGGCTAGGGGAAAGGAGCCAATTAGTTGACAAATATTTACTGAGTGTTTAAGATGTCCCAGATTCCATACTTACCTTCAAGCAGCTTAAATTGTAATGAAAGAAAGAAGATATACAAATTAACGTAATTTTTAAGTAGTGGTAGGCATTATAAATGAAATAAAAGAAGGTTAAGTAGTAGTGAATGACTGGTGGGCTACTTAAGCTGAGGTTGGCAGGGAAGGTCTATCTGAGAAGGAAATACTTGAGTTGAGATCCGAGTAATCTGAAGGGGCGGTTCTGTGGAAGTCCTGGGGAAAGAATATTTGGACCAGGAAGAACAGCATAGAATGAGCTTGACAGGTTGGCAAAACACAACCACCACTGTGGCTGGAGCATGGTGGGTGAGGGACACAGTAAAGAAAGTACGTACAGAGTTATGGAGGCCCTTGTAGGTCATATGGAATTTGAATTTTATTCTAAGAGAAATTAGAAACATCTGGAGGGTGTTAAGGAGTGCCAAGACCTGATTTTTGCTTTAGAAATACCACTCTGGCTGCTGTGTGAAGGACAGGCCTAGAGAGGCAAAAGTGGAGGAAAACAGAATCAGTTACGAGGCCATTGCAAAAGTCTAACTGTGAGATCATGGCAGCTTGGACTAGGGATTTGGCAGAGGAGATAGTACTGAAAGGTACTCAGATTTGGCATGTATTTTGTCAAGCTAACAGGGAAGAGAGGAATCAAGAATAACAACAGAGCAATGGGTTGTATATTTACTAGGATGGAGAAGGCTTGTACATGGGAAGGAAAAGAGAAAGGACTGGAGACAGGAGATTTGGAAAAGCCAGGGAAAGTAAGATGTTGGTCATTTAAGTGGAAATGTTGGGAGGCAGTTGACTAATGGCTTCAAACTCAAGAAAGAGTTCTGGGAGAAATATGTAAATTTCAGATTTACCTGTTTATAGATCATATTTGGTATGATGAGGCTGCATGAGTTCACCTAAGGAAAAAGGTAAGAGAGCTGAGGACGGAGCTCTTGGTCAATCCAGTATTTAGAGATCTATTAGAGAAGTAAGAGCTAGCAAGAGGGAATGAAAAGGAAAGAGTAGTGAGAAAAAGGACAACCAGATGGGTATAGTTAGCATAAATGCCTACAGAAGACAGCATCTTATGGAGGACGAGGGAGTAAATTTGGAGAGTTGATCACACTGTAGGTCATTAGGGGCCGTGTTAAGAACCACTTTAGTGAGACCCCGAAGAAGAAAGATCCATTGGAATGGGTTAAATAGAAAATGCAAGATAAAGAAGTAGAGATAGTAAATGTAGGCAATCTTTTTTGTTGTTGTCTGAATCTTTGCTCTGCCATTTTTATCTGGGTAACCTTAGACAAATTTCTTTTTTTTTTTTTAAATTGTATTTCCATAGGTTTTTGGAGAACAGGTGGTATTTGGTTACATGAGTAAGTTCTTTAGTGGTGATTTGTGAGATTTTGGTGCACCCATCTCCCGAGCAGTATACACCGCACCCAATTTGTAGTCTTTTATCCCGAACCCCCTTCCTGCCCTTTCCCCCCTGAGTCCCCATAGTGTACTGTCTTTCTTATGTCTTTGCATCCTCATAGCTTAGCTTCCACTTATGAGAACATATAACGTTTGGTTTTTCCATTCCTGAGTTACTTCACTTAGAATAATAGTCTCCTATCCCCCAAGGTTGCTGCAAATGCCATTAATCCATTCCTTTTTATGGCTGAGTAGTATTCCATCATATATACATATATACCACAGTTTCTTTATCCATTCGTTGATTGATGGGCATTTGGGTTGGTTCCACGTTTTTTGCAATTGCAAACTGTGCTGCTATAAACATGTGTGAGCAAGTATGTTTTTAATATAATGACTTCTTTTCCTCTGGGTAAATACCCAGTAGTGGGATAGCTGGATCAAATGGTAGTTATACTTTTATCTCTTTAAGGAATCTCCACGCTGTTTTCCATAGTGGTTGTACTAGCTTATATTCCCACCAGAAGTGTAGAAGTGTTTTGTTCACTACATCCATACCAACATCTATTATTTTTTGATTTTTTGATTATGACCATTCTTGCAGGAGTAAGGCAGTATCACATTGTGGTTTTGATTTGCATTTCCCTGATCATTAGCGATATTGGGCATTTTTTCTTATGTTTGTTGACCACTTGTACATGTTCTTTTGAGAATTGTCTATTTGTGTCCTTAGCCCACTTTTTGATGGAACTTTTCTTTTTTTTCTAATTTGAGTTTGTTGTGTAGATTCTGGATATTAGTAGTCCTTTGTCAGATGTACAGATTATGAAGATTTTTTCCCACTCTGTGGGTTGTCTGTTTACTCTGCTGACTGTTCCTTTTGCCATGCAAAAGCTCTTTAGTTTAATTAAGTCCCAGCTATTTATCTTTGTTTTTACTGCAATTGCTTTTGGGTCCTTAGTCATGAAATCCTTGCCTAAGCCAATGTCTAGAAGGGTTTTTCCAATGTTATCTTCTAGAATTTTTATAGTTTCAGGTCTTAGATTTAAGTCCATGATCCATCTCTAGTTGATTTTTATTATTATACTTCAAGTTCTAGGGTACATGTGCACAACGTGCAGATTTGTTACATATGTATACATGTGCCATGTTGGTGTACTGCACCCATTAACTCGTCATTTACATTAGGTATATCTCCTAATGCTATCCCTCCCCCTTACCCCCCACCCCACGACAGGCCCCAGTGTGTGATGTTCCCCTTCCTGTGTCCAAGTGTTCTCATTGTTCAATTCCTACCTATGAGTGAGAACATGTGGTGTTTGGTTTTTTTGTCCTTGTGATAGTTTGCTGAGAATGATGGTTTCCAGCTTCATCCATGTCCCTACAAAGAACATGAACTCATCATTTTTTATGGCTGCATAGTATTCCATGGTGTATATGTGCCACATTTTCTTAATCCAATCTATCACTGATGGACATTTGGGTTGGTTCCAAGTCTCTGCTGTTGTGAATAGTGCCGCAATATACGTACGTGTGCATGTGTCTTTATAGCAGCATGTTTTATAATCCTTTGGGTATATACCCAGTAATGGGATGGCTGGGTCAAATGGTATTTCTAGTTCTAGATCCTTGAGGAATCGCCACACTGTCTTCCACAATGGTTGAAGTAGTTTACAGTCCCACCAACAGTGTAAAAGTGTTCCTATTTCTCCACATCCTCTCCAGCACCTGTTGTTTCCTGACTTTTTAATGATCGCCATTCTAACTGGTGTGAGATGGTATCTCATTGTGGTTTTGATTTGCATTTCTCTGATGGCCAGTGATGATGAGCATTTTTTCATGTGTCTGTTGGCTGCATAAATGTCTTCTTTTGAGAAGTGTCTGTTCATATCCTTCTCCCACTTGTTGATGGGGTTGCTTTTTTCTTGTAAATTTGTTTGAGTTCATTGTAGATTCTGGATATTAGCCCTTTGTCAGATAAGTAGATTGCATTTTTGTATAAGGTGAGAAAAGAGGATCCAGTTTCATTCGCCTACATGTGGCTTGCCAATTATCCCAGCACCATTTGTTGAATAGGGTGTCTTTTCCCCACTTTATGTTTTTGTTTGCTTTGTTGAAGATCAGTTGGCTGTGTTTGGCTTTATTTCTTGGTTCTCTATTCTGTTCCATTGGTCTGTGTGCCTATTTTCATACCAGTACCATGCTGTTTTGGTGACTATGGCCTGATAGTACAACTTGAAATCAGGTAATGTGATGCCTCCTGATTTGTTCTTTTGGCTTAGTCTTGCTTTGGCTATGCAGGCTCTTTTTTCATTCCATATGAATTTTAGGACTGTTTTTCTCTAGTTCTGTGAAGAATGATGGTGGTATTTTGATAGGAATTGCACTGAATTTGTAGATTGCTTTTGGCAGTATGGCCATTTTCACAATATTGATTCTACCCACCCATGAGCATGGGATGTGTTTCCATTTATTTGTGTCATCTACGATTTCTTTCAGGAGTGTTTTGTAGTTTTCCTTGTAGAGAGCTTTCACGTCCTTGGTTAGGTATATTCCTAAGTACCTTTTTTTTTTTTCTGGCTATTGTAGAAGGAGTTGAGTTCTTGATTTAATTCTCAGCTTGGTCGCTGCTGGTGTACAGGAGAGCTACTGATTTGTGTACATTAATTTTGTATCCTGAAACTTTGCTGAATTCTTTTATCAGTTCTAGGAGCTTTTTGGAGGAGTCTTTAGGGTTTTCTAGGTATACAATCATATCATCAGCAAACAGCAACAATTTGACATCCTCTTTACCAATTTGGATGCCCTTTCTTTCTCTTGTCTGATTGCTCTGGCTAGGACTTCCAGTACTATGTTGATCAGAAGTGGTGAGAGTGGGCATCCTTTTCTAGTTCCAGTTTTCAGAGGGAATATTTTCAACTTTTCTCCAATCCAGTATTATGTTGGCTGTGTGGTTGTTATAGATAGGTTGTTATAGATTGCTTTTATTACATTCAGGTATGTCCCTTGTATGCTGATTTTGCTGAGAGTTTTAATCATAAAGTGATGCTGGATTTCGTCAAATGCTTTGTGTTTACTGAAATGATCATGTGATTTTTGTTTTTAATTCTGTTTATGTGGTTTATCACATTTGTTGACTTGCATATGTTAAACCATCCCTGGTATGTAACCCACTTGATCATGGTGGATTATCTTTTTGATACGTTGCTGGATTCAGTTAGCTAGTATTCTGTTAAGGATTTTTGCATGTATGTTCATTAAGGATACTGGTCTGTAGTTTTCTTTTTCAGTTATGTCCTTTCCTGGTTTTGGTATCAGGGTGATACTGGCTTCATAATATGATTTAGGGAGGATTCTCTCTTTCTCTATCTTGTGGAATAGTGTCAAAAGGATTGGTACCAATTCTTCTTTGAATGTCTGGTAGAATTCAGCTGTTAATCCATCTGGTCCTAGACTTTTTTTGTTGTTGGTAATTTTTTTATTACCATTTCAATCTCACTGCTGTTCTTTGTCTGTTTAGGGTATCTAATTCTTCCTGATTTAAGCTAGGATGGTTGTATCTTTCCAGAAATTCATGCATCTCCTCTAGGTTTTCTAGTTTATGTACATAAAGGTATTCATAGTAGCCTGGAATGATCTTTTGTATTTCCGTGGTGTCAGTTGTAATATCTCCTGTTTTATTTCTACTTGAGCTGATTTGGATTTTCTCTCTTCTTTTCTTGGTTAATCTTGCTAATAAATACAGGCAACTTTTTAAAGGAGTTTGTGGTGAAGAGGATTAGAGAAATGGAGTCTGAGAATGTATACTGAGAGAGGTTTTTTCCTTTGTTAAGTGACTGATATTAAGGCATACATGTATGCCAGAAGAATGATGTAGTAAAGAGAGAGAGAAAAAAAGATCCAAGAAAGGTAAAGTCCCAGAAAGGTAAGAGTAAAGTCCTTAAAAGGTAAGAAGAAACGAGTTCCATGCTGCACAAGGTTTGCCTTAGGAGGAGGGACATTTCTACTGTATCTTGAAGGAATAGGTGGACATATATGCAAGTAAAACTGAAGGTAGCTCTTATCTGACTGTGTCTACTTTTGTCCATGAAATATGTAGCAAGGTCATTATTGGAGGGTGGTAGTTGGAGGGTGGAAAGATGGTTTGAGGAGAGAGGTACAAAATGGTTCTCTTAAAGAGTAGGAATATGAATTGACTAGCCACAACAGTTAAACAGTAGATGTTTAATCTCTTTTGAGATGAGATCTATGCTCACAAATTTGAAGTTAGTCATTCAGCATGGCTTGCTTGATTTTCTCCACAAATGTTCAGCTACTTAGGTGCAGGGAAGAAGTAAATGGCTAGCTGAGATTAACCTGAGTTGAGGTTGTAATAGATATCTAGAACAGAAGGAAAGACAGGCAAAAGGAGATAGATAAGGATTTTAGTTAGCAAGTAGAGTGCTAGACTATAGAATCTATGTTGAATAATGAGGAAAGAGGGGGCATGAAAGTGGTGATGGCTAGTGAGTAAGTGTTAAGATGTGGGGACATCGTGATGAGATTGGAGAATTATAATGAGAAGTACCCAAGTTAAGTGAGTTAGAAGGAAGGATGTCACTGTCAAAATTCTGATTAAATAAGTGCTGTTAGTGGTGATAGCAAGATCAACTGTATGACCAGGTGATTATGCGGCTGTAGTGGGGAGAAAAAGAGGTAACTATATAAAGGCCAAGGAAATGAGAGACCAGGGTGTTGAATGGATCATAGGTGGATATAGAAGTCAGTCACCATAAACCTTCTTTAATTGTAATAAGAGGGAAGAAGAAAAGACTGAGTACAGAAAAATTAAATTTTAGATTTGGTGGCAGGAAGCTGAAGGAATTTGTTTTATGGCTTGCTTACATTTCTCTACAAAGGTGGGGGAATATCATTTGCTGAGAATGGGGGGTTGAGTAGTAGGTTTCTGCATAACTCAGATAATTAGAGAATGGAGAAGAAAACTGGGAAAGGTGACTTGTAGTATTAAGAGGCAAGATGAAACTAGAAATAGAAAATTCTAGTAGCACTCCCTGGTATCCTATACATACACAAAAGTATTTATTACATTGCGGTATAGTTTTTTCTATTTCCTCCTTACTGAGACCATAAACTCCTTAGGGATCAAGACTGTGTTTTGTCTTTGTATTCCTAGTGCTTCACAGTGCCTGGTGCTTAATGAGTACTCAAAAAGTACTTCTGTAGGAATGAATGAATTGGTCATTAAATCAGTGTCTGTGTCTGGGGCTGGGTGTGGTGGCTCACACCTGTAATCCCAGCACTTTGGGAGGCTGAGGCAGGCAGATCACCTGAGGTTAGGAGTTCAAGACCAGCTTCGCCAACATGGTGAAACCTCGTCTCTACTAAAAATACAAAAATTAGGCAGGTGTGATGGCACCTGTAATCCCAGCTACTCAGGGAGCTGAGGCACAAGAATCACTTGCACCTGGGAGATGGAGGTTGCAGTGAGCCAGTATCATGCCACTGCACTCCAGACTGGGTGAAAGAGTGAGATTCTGTCTCAAAATAAATAAATAAACAAACAAATAAATAAAAAATCTGTGTCTGCTTTAATGGCATCTAGTTTCCATTAGATACCATTCTTAATATTACTACTACTATTGTTACGTTGTGACTTCTAGTGATGGCCAAGATGAGAGCAATAAAAGAGAAGTAACAAATTGGCAAGGGTTAATTCCTTAAGTTTCATGGATTTTCTACCTTATAAGTTTCACAGACTAAGGAGCCGCCTAACATACAATATTCTGGTCATATAATTTTTGCCTCATCATGTTATTGAAAAATAAAAATAGGCTGGGCGTGGTGGCTCATGCCTGTAATCCCAGCACTTTGTGGGGGGGCCAAGGCGGATGGATCACCTGAGGTCAGGAGTTCGAAACCAGCCTGGCCAAGATGGTGAAACCCCGTCTCTACTAAAAATACAAAAAAATTAGCCGGGCGTGGTGACGCATGCCTGTAATCCCAGCTACTCGGGAGGCTGAGGCAGGAGAATTGCTTAAACCCAGGAGGCGGAGGTTGCAGTGAGCTGAGATTGTGCCACTGCACTCCACCCTGGGCAACAAGAGTGAAACTGTCTCAAAAAAAAATGAATAAATAAAATAAATATATCATTTAAGCCAGGTGTGGTGGTGTGCCTACAGTGCGAGCCTCTCAGGAGGCAGAGGTGGGAGGATCGCTTGAACCCAGGAGCTTGAAGCTGCCTGGGCAAGACAACAAACAAACAAAAATAATAAAAATTGTTTAACTTACCTTGCATCAACTCCATCAAATACTTTCTGACACTCATTTCCAATAACTTCTTGCTTTAGATAATACAGCATTCTCACACGAAGCAAAACCCTAAAAACAAGGGAAAATAAATCAAAGGCATAAAGACATTCATCGTTTAAAATATTCGGACATGGGGTTAAAATTAGGAAGGAATTTGTGTACAGATTTTAAAATAATGAAATATTACTTCTGATTAAATGAATCTTATTACTACCATATATATAAAGAACTTCTCCAAAATCTTCATAATCATCATTATTTCATATACAAGTAAGATATAATGAGCTCATTTGGAGGCCAGTTTTACTTATCTGTTGGTGAGAACAATGACACAAGAGGTATCATGATTTGCTTGTAGGATACCTTGTAAAATTAGGATTAGGATTGGCCCTAGACCATGCTGTCTCTGTACTCAAAATCAGCAAGCTTAAAGAGTATTAATAAATTCAGAACAGTAAACATTTAAAGAGTTGTGTTTAAAATACCCTATACCTACTTATTACAGTGGTGTTTTATATGTTTTTTGTAGCCTTCATCTTGAAGGAGCTGCTCGGGATTATATTTTCGAAGCCATTCTGCTTTTTGTATATCAAATGAGCTTGTTTGAGTTTTTACTTTCTTCCCTTTTCGACCCCTGGGTACAGGAGCTGATAGGCCTGTTAAAATAAGGACATATAAATTAGGAATAATTTGTATAAAAATTTGCAATCTGAAAGATTGTTTCAATGCAAGAAATTTCTGGAGACTTTCTGAGGTCTGTTCAGAGATCTTTAAAATATTAGTAACAATACTGACCCAACCACAAATCAAGATGATGGTTTTATACATATTAAAACATATTTCCCCCAAATAGCTAACAATTCTACATCTCATATTAATCATTCTGATTTCCTTTTTGTTCCAAAACAGATTATTTTTTTACAAATATAAAACCCAAAAGATCAAACTTATGCCCTCTGCTTTACTTTTGCTTTCCTAGATACTAAAAGATATGTTTTGACCTCTACTCTTGCTTTTCAAAATTGATTTAGATAGATTAGGTTAGCCATCCTCTTCAAGATAGCTAAACTCATTTTAGTTCTTTGAGTTATTTGTTGTGAAATATTTAAAAACTACAAAAACGTACTGCCACTCTTCATGTTCACATAGTCCATGTTTACTTAGTTTTTTTTTGTTGTTTTGTTTTGTTTTTTTTGAGACAGAGTCACTCTGTTGCTCAGGCTGGAGTGCAGTGGCGTGATGTCGGCTCACTGCAACCTCTGCCTTCTGGGTTCAAGTGATTCTCCTCCCTCAGCCTCCTGAGTAGCTGGGATTACAGGCATGCGCCACCACGCCTGGCTAACTTTAGTAATTTTAGTAGAGATAGGGTTTCACCATGTTGGCCAGTCTGGTCACAAACACTTAGTTTTTTATTAAAGGAAATAATACATAGTTGAAGTCCCTATGTAGTCCTCTCCTATCAAATTCACTCATTCCTTCCCAGAGATTACCACTACCCTGAATTTGTTTTTCCATTCCATGCATGTTTGAACTATTATTACCTATGTTGGATAAGTATTTAGTATTTAAGTTTTCAGATATTATATTATAAATGTAAGCCTGCACCTTATTTATTACTCTGAACTTTTAAAAAATTTATCCTGGTTGACTCATGAGGCTCTAATTCATCTATTTTTGTTTCTGTATAATAATTTATTACATAACTATACCACCTCCTATTTATTAATCTTCCATGAATTTGAGCTGTTTTGCTTGTAATTTTTCACAATTATTAATAATGCAGTTTTGACTCCTCTTGCAATTCTTGTACCTCATTTACCTTTTCCTTGCCATTTTATAACAGGTGGGTACTCCACTACAATGGTACATTGAAGCACTGTATGGGTTTGTCCATTTTTCCTTATAATTTTGGCAGAGGTTTTTTTTTTCTTTTGCCTTTACATTTTGAGACTATTTTAGATGTATGTAAGTTCATACTTGTTATAGTTTCTTCTATGGATTATTCTTTTTAATTATTAGGTAGTGTCCCTTTTTTTTTATTCCAATTGATACCTTCCATCTTAAATTCACTTTGTTCTATGTTAATGGTACTACAACATTTTGTACGGTTTAGTAGTCGCATGGTGTAGTTTTACTAAATAAACTTTTAAGCTTGTTTGGTGTTTAATAATATCTCTTTAAAGTATAAAATGTTTATTTTTCCCCCCATCTAACAATTTTCCTCTTTTAACAGGTGAAAATATACATAGGCTGCATACATATGTTTATATATTTAGTTTTACAATTTTATTGTTTATCATACCTTCCTTCTTTCTTTGTTTTGCTGGAATGATAAATAGTTCTGTATTCCAATCTTCTCCACCCTTGTTGGTTCGAAATAGTACATACTTAAAAATACACATGCTTAAATTTTCCTAATGAAATCTACAGATATTCTGTATTTCCAATTTTCTTCCTAACAAGATTTTCCCAGATTCATCATTCAATCTTCTTTTTACTTTTTCATTTCATTATATATTGTTATAATTTATAGGCTTCTGCTTTCACTGTTTTTACAGCACCTTATTCTTTCGAAGTCATGGTATATTTGAAGTATCTTTGAAGATATTAATGATAGTTAAAGAAAAGGTGTCCTCCTTTTTGAAATCCTTGTTTCCTTCAAGTTCATTTTAATGTTTTTTTTTCTTTTTCTTTTTCTTTTTTTTTTTCTTCTGAGACAGAGTCTCGCTCTGTCAGCCAGGCTGGAGTGCAGTAGCGTGATCTCGGCTCACTGCAACCTCCGCCTCCCAGGTTCAAGTGATTCTCATGCCTCAGCATCCCAAGTAGCTGGGATTACAGGCACATGTCACCATGGCTGGCTAATTTTTGTATTTTTAGTAGAGACGGGGTTTCACCATGTTGGCCAGGCTGGTCTTGAACTCTTGACCTCAAGTGATCTGGCCACCTCAGCTTCCCAAAGTGTTGGGATTACAGGGGTGAGCCACCGTGCCCAGCCAATGGTTTTTTGTCTCTCTCTTTCATGTTAGAGACTTTCCTGAGATGCCTGATAATCCTTGGCTGTTTTTGCTCTTATTTAAGTGTGACAAATAAAAAAGGTGATAGGGAGACTGAAGGGATGGAGCATAGTGATTGTGGGCTCACTGAAGGGTAACTGGCTGGGTTTTTTTTTTTTCTCCTGTCATTATCTTTAGGTTTGGGGCAAGCCCTTTAGTTTTATTCCTTGAGTAATAGAACAACCAGAATGCACACAGTTATTTAATCCCTATTTAGTAGCTCTACAACTCAACTACCAGTGCAATCCAGACTTCTATTTTACTCTTTCCAGAGAAAAAATTTTGAGTCAGTTTTCATCCTGGCTACATGGAACTGAAGAGGGTATTTAGGGCCTTTTTTTAAACCGCTTTGAATGAAAGCTTCTATCCTTATACACCCACTTCCAGAGGTTCCTGATGTCACAAATTCCTAAGACATTTGGGAAATCTGTAAAGCAAAGCAGTTTGCCTTTCCCACTGCTGACCTAAGATTCAGCCCTCTCAGGTTGGTTAAATCAGTTACCACTAATATATTTGCCTCCAGCTTCCAAAATCTTGTTGCCGTTTCCTCTCCCATTTTTGAGAGTTTATGCTTATTTTAAAATTATAGAATACAAGTATATACAACAGTCCCATTATCCACATTCAATAATTATCAACTCATGGCCAATTTTGTTCACCCCCAATCTTTCACATTATTTTGAAGTAAATGTAATAAATCAATCATTTCATTCATAAATATCAACGGTATCTTTTAGCAATATCTAAAAGATATTTAGTGGTATCTAAATTTAATTTAACAGAGGTATCTATTTAGTGATAAAGCCTCCATTAAAATAGCTACAACACTATTATCAGCCCTAAGATGCAATAATAGCTTCTTAATATTTGGTATTCAACATTCTAATTAGTTAATAAAGATAATAAAACATTTCCTCTGGGTTATTTGTTTCAATCAGGATCTAAATAAAGCCCCCACAGCACTTTGGGAGGCTGAGGCAGGAGGATCACTTGAGCTCAGGAATTTTGAGACATGCCTGGGCAACAAAGTGAGACTCCACCTCTAAAAAAAAAAAAAAAAAAAAAAATTAGCCAGGTGTGATGGTACACGCCTGTACTCCCAGCTATAGGGGAGGAGGATCACTTGAGCCCAGGAGTTTGAGGCTGCAGTGAGCCGTGTTCACGTCACAACACTCTAGCTTGGGCAACAGAACGAGACCCTGTCACAAAACATAAAAATAAAAATAAAGTCCCCAGACCCCACACTGCAACTGGCTGATAACTTTTCAATCTCTTTTAGGTTATAGCAGGGTTTCAATCTTGGCACTACAATATTTTGAGCAGGATATTTCTTCATTGTGGGGGGCGGGAGACTATCTGTGAACTCCTGGCCTCTACCCACTAGATGCCAGTAACACGCTGAAGGTTGTGATAGTCTGTGGTAGGGGTGGGATTGGGGCAGAAAGTCATCTTTGGCTGTGAATAGATACCTCTCTATTCACTCCTAATCCGATAATTTATTTGTTGAGGAATCCAAGTCTTTTGTTCTGTAGAATTTGTTAAGCTTAGTGCCTTACTTTTTTCTAGTGGAGTTTCAAGAAAGAGTGAAATTACATTTGTGTGATTCTTCCATCTACCTAGAAGTCAGGTCTTCACATTAATTAAACTCACTGTCTCCTATTAAAATAGGCCTACACTGACCACCCTATCTAAAATGGGTGCTTTCTGTTGTTTTCCATCTCAATAGTTTATTTACTTCACAGTAATTACCACAATCTATAACTAATGTACATTCTTACTATGTCTGTCTACCTGGTTAGAATGTAAGGTTCATGAGCTCAGGGATCTTGTCTATCTTGTTTCTTCTTATCTTTTCAACACCTTGCACAAGACACACACCAGCCATTCAACAGATATTTTTTGATTAAGTAGAATAAAATTGTAACAAATTTAAGGGCATAGTAATTCTTTTTATTTTTTACTGGAAATTCAATTATTTTATGCTATAAAATAATTATTTCATGCAAAAAAGAATGTTCTGTTAGGAAGGCTAAGGAGCAAAAAGTACTAGCGTATACCTCTGAGAGGATTGTAAATTGGCATAACCATTTTGGACAGCAAATTAAAGTATAATGAAAATTTAGGCCAGGCATGGTGGCTCATGTCTGTGATCCCAGCACTTCGGGTGGCTGAGGGGGAAGGATTGCTTGAGCTCAGGAGTTCAAGACCAGCCTGGGCAACATGGTAGGACCCTGACTCTGCAATATAAAAAAATTTTTAAAAGCCGGGTGTGGTGCTACATGCTTGTGGTCCCAGCTACTCAGGAGGTTGAGGCAGAAGGATGGCTTAAGCCCAGGAGGTTGAGGCTGCATTGAGCCATGTTTGCATCACTGTACTCTAGCCTGGGGGACAGAGCAAAATCCTGTCTCAAATAATAAACAAAAATTAAAAAGTATTATGAAAATTTAAAATTGCATATCAATGTTTCTCAAACTTTAATATGTACACTAATTCCTATGGATCTTGTTAAAATGCAGATTCTTATTCAGTAAATCTGAGGCCTAAGATTCTGCATTTCTAAGAAGCTTCCAGAAGATGCTGATGCTGCTGACCCAGAGACCACATTTTAGGTTCTAAAGATGTATATAAGCTATACTTTAATAATTCCATTCTTGATATCTACTTTAGTGAAAGATTTATTTATATGCACAAGGAGGAGGGTACATGGATCTTCTCTGAAACTTGTTTTTTAATTGTCTAAAATTGAAACTACCTAAACACCCATCATCAAAGGAGATACTAAATAAATTATGGAATATCCATACTACGGAATACTAAGCAGAACTTAAAAAATGAGATAGATCTATCTGAGCATAGACGGAAAGACCTCTAAGACATTTAGTTGGGTCATCAATTCCAAACAGATACGTATTTGATAACAAAATGTAAAATCCACCAAACTGATAACACTGGCATTTTCTGAAGCTGGAACTTGAATTGGGAGTGAAGGTTAAGGTTCCTTAATATTATTTGTAATGCTTTTATATTTTATAGGAGAATATGTTAAGTATTACTTATATAACTAAAAATAAATTTTAAAAGCAAATGAAACAATGTTCTTACCTAGATGATTCTGTAGCTCTCGTGTCTGTCCATCTTCAGTTGGAGTAATGAGATCCCATATGAAACCTTTAATCTTCTCATCTCCTCGGTAGTGAACAAGGCAATATGCTAAGAGAGCTCGGCAAATTATCTCTACATCGTGTTCATTTAGCTGCCTTTTGAAACGGCCATGAGATAGAATCTCTCTCCATCGGCCCCACCTGGTTAAAAAAGGTATAGTTACATTGATATTGAGTCAAGTTCTAGAGAAAAATATTAACTCATAGATAAAAGGAATGAAAAACTTTAAAAAATTGTCATTTTTGCTAATTAAGTCTTCCCTACCCATGCATAGAATGTAGAGGAATGGTATAGTAATTTCTAGTATATTTTATTCAGTAATGGATAACATCTAATTTGTATTACTGAATATGCGAATTTAAGGACAAGAAGTTTGACTTTAGTGATACTTTGAAAATTTAAATACTTGAGGATAATCTCATCATTCTGCTCTTAAATATATGCTAAAAATAGAGTACTTTAAAAGTAAATTTTAATGATTCTAAGAAGATAAAAAATATACTCAAAACCAGTATATATTTTCTGTAACATTACATACCAGACTACTTAGAGCAAACATTAAAAACAATGTTTTACCCATAAACTAGCAGGTTTTTCTCAACTCTAAAGCATTCAGTTCTTCCATAGCCATTGGAACGGTCACAGGGTCTCCGGAGTTTGGGCTTTTCATCTCCTTCACTTTCAGCTTCAGATAATTCAGCCAATTCATCTTTTGTGGCACTAAAAGGTCTTGTTTGCTTCCTAATTCTTGGAGTGTCAATAACCAAGCTGTTCTGTAAAACAGAACTGCTATTACCTGAAGGTACTTTTATGATTTTGCTTACAACAGTGTTCTACATTTTTACCTTATACAAACAATAATTACAGAAACACAGACAAAAAGAAACAACTAACAATTTCACCAACCTATTCAGTCAACTTAGAATTGCTTATATTCCTTTAGAATTCTTACTACCACACATGTAAAATTTTATGACATTATAGTCATAGGATAAAAAGAACTTGATATTTTGTATATTAATATAACATTATTGTAATCATAAAAATATTTTAAACTGAATTTATGCCTTATAATTTTTCTTTACCTAATTCATAATTTAGATTGTTCTTAATTTTTAAAATAAATAATGCTAAAGTAAATCTTTGTGGCTTAAGTTTATTCTAAAGGTAAATTCAAAAGAAGGGAAGTATCCAGAAATGGAAATACTGGTCAAAGGTTATGAATATTTTACAGCGCTTTCCAAAAGACTTAATACAAAGAAAGCAAGGCAGTTAATTGCATCAACCTCAGTATGTTCGATTCAGTTTAATTCATTCAAAACAATTTATGTTAACATACTTTTTATTTTTATTGAGAAACTTCTCTAAGCTAGGCACTATGTTATGGGCTGTGGTATAATGATGAATAAGGCTGTTTCTACTCATAAGGAATCCAAAGTTTTAGTTACACGGACAAATGTGTCACTAAACAAATGCTATTTGGGATGAAATTTTTTATGATATAAGAGGTATCACAGTCAGAGAAAATGTCACAAAGTAGTGATACTAGAAAGACTTCTTAAAGTATTAGAAGTAGTTTGCCAGGCAGTGAGGGAAGAGATAGCATTACAAGTAGAGGAAAGAGCAAGGGACCTGAAGTGGTATCAGATTTTCAGGAAATGCTTATGTCCTAGAGCAGGAGAGGACAAATGGTAGGAGAGAAGGCAGGGACCAGACCATAAAGGTCCTGGTATGCCATAATATGTATGGAATGCATTATATTTAAGGGGCATGTGATGTCCTATGACAGGTGATGTTAACTTTTGCCAAGTTTCTCCACTGTGAAGTTACTAGTTTTCCTTTTGGAATTAATATGTATTTTGGAAGATATACTTTGAAGACACATAAATATGTTGTGTCTCCTTAAACTTTTACCCACTAATTTTAGAATTCACTGATGGATCTTGTATGCTACAATTATTACTGCAGTTGATTCATGGTGATTTTTTATTTCCTTCATTCCTTCTACATTTATTAAATGGAATTCTTCCGTAAGAAAGAGTTGTCCCTTTTCCTCTTTTTCCCCTTCCCAGTTTCCTTAAAAAAAAAAACAAAAAACTAATTGTATTTTTTTCTTAATTTTCAAATGTCTTTTTCCCCAAATCTTTTGAGATTTGATACAATTTTGATCTACTTATATTAGCTTTTATGTAATAGAAACATTAACTTTCATACACATGTCTGCTACAAATAGTGTCACCAGTCTGACTGCACTTTCATTTTTCCATTACATAATTCTGTCTTGTATAGTTAAATATGCCAATCACTTCCTTTGTAATTTCTAATTTAGAATGTTTTCCCACCCAAATATTTGTGAAAAGAAATCTAATTTCTATTTTTCATGTTTTGATTAAAAAACACTTAAAAATCTTTTATCACAAATTAGAGTTTACTTGGTATAGAGCATAGGATTATAACGCTCTTCCCAAATGCTAATCCAATATCCTAATCACCATTTATTAAATCATCTTTCTTTAGCACTATTTGTATATTTCATAAACTTATACTTTGATCTTTTTCTGTTGTTATCCCATTCTTTGCTTGGTATCTTTCTGTCAGTACCATACTTTTTAAACTATTATTTTATATTAATGTATTTTATTTTTTTAAACTAATTTAATTTTTTAAAGAAAGGTTCTTGATGTCACTCAGGCTGGAGTGCAATGGCACAATCACAGCTCACTGCAACCTCGAACTCTTGGGGTCAAGCCATCCTCACACCTTCAGGCTCCTTCGTAACTAGGATTACAGGCACGCACAATCACGCCTAGCTAATTTTAAATTTTTTTGTAGAGAACAGGGTCTTGCTATGTTGCCTAGGCTGGTATCAAACTCCTAGCTTCAACCAATCCTCCTGCCTCAGCCTCCTGAAGTGCTGGAATTATACAGGAATGAGCCACTGTGCCCAGCTGTATTAATATATTTAGACACTTTAACATACAGTAATGTTAGTCTTTATTGTACATTTTCAGAAAAGTCCTTAATTTTTTACAAAAGTATAAACTTTAAAATGTTACTGCAAAAGTATTAAATGACTATATGCTTATATAAGTTTATTTACAAAATCCTTAACGCCTTAAAATAATCTACAAAGCCCTGTTGATTTGGCCCATGTCTTCAGTCTCTGACCTCATCTATTACCACCACACTCACTAACTCTTCACATTCTGCCATAATGTATTTCTGCTTCTAGAATACACTAAGCTTATTTCTACCAGTGTCTCATTGCCATTCCCTCTGCCTCAAAGCTTTTCCTGACATTACAGTGTATTGGCTCTTTCTCTTCATTCAAGTCTCCGTGCAGATAATCCTTTCGCAGTGACCTCCCTTGATCACTTCACCTAGTCTAATTCTACTTCTCCAGCATTCTCTGCCATCTTACTGCTTTATTTTCCTCACTCTCTAAATTATCTTATATATTTGTTTACCACTTTCTTACCCACCAGGATGTAATTACCAATATATACTGCTGAAAAATCATAAATAGAGATCACATTGTAAGCATCATTCTGCATCTCTCTCTTTCTCTGTCTTGGAGCTCTGTTAGTCCACAGTACATGGTACATAAGAATGTCCATTCTTATTATTTTTTATTTTTAATTATTGCATTAGACAGTATGAATGTACCATTGCTCCCATATAGAAAATTTAGTTTCTAAATTTTTGCTATAACAAAAAATGCTGCAATGAGTATCACTGTACTATATTATCATTGTACATGTATGCTTATTGCTGCAGGGCCGATTCCTGAGTGCATTAAATATTCTTCCAAAAAAATTTAAAATTATTTTTTCTAGTTATAAGAAAAAATTGTTTAACATTCTGATTTGCATTGCATTACATCTACATAACATTTCTATGTTTACAAACGAACTATTAAAATGTTTAAAATATTCCCAATGGACACATCTCCCAACCAAATTTCACTTTACAGAAATCAAACACAGCTTTCTTTAGGTATATTCTTAAGTGTTCTATATCTTTTTTTTTTCTACTGTGAAGTAGATATCCTATTACATTATATTTTTCTATTTCTGTTAGTACTGATATTTAGGAAGGCTCAATGGCATATTTATCTTCTATCCAGTTAATTCACTAAACTCACTTACGAACTTTTATAGTGTTTTGCAGACCCCACTACTTGTTTAGGTATATGAACATGCCATATGCCAATAATATTTTTATAATTACCTTTTCACGTTTACCTGTTTCACACAGAATTACATATATTTCCAAAATGCATTCAACAATAATACTTATGGATGGTAGTGGTGTTACTCCTAATTGTAAAGCTTTACATTTTAAAAGGCTATCAACAAAGATCCAATGCATGAGTGCTTAATATAAAATTCCTTTAATCATCTAGCTGTTATTTTGATAATTGGTAAGACTGAAAAACACTGATTTCTATACAATTATTAGACAAGTGTGTCTTAGTAAATAAGCAGTTATGCTATTATTATCAGTTCCATAAAGTGAATTTTAGCATTTTGACCTTTTCTTAGCTCAAGGGAAGTCATAAGAGAAGCAGTTTAAAAAATGCCACTTTCTTGACTGCTTTTTTTCTCCTCTTATTTACATTTTACTAGATTATCATTAATGGGTTCTGACACTAAGAAAACATTAAAGAGAAAATAAATGTAACCCATGATTTGAAGACATTAAAAAATTTAAAAAACATATTATAATTTTAAGAATGTAAATTATATCCAAAAGTTAAACCTTCCCTGTAGGGATAACCCATCATGGGAGATATTAGATGTATTAAATTGGAGGAGAACCTCACTCAGTTCATTCTGCTACCCTACTTCAATTTATATATCTAGAAATTTGTTTTAGTAACTGCATAATTGAACACCTTAAAATATTACAATACTATTGCCAAAGTATCCCAAAAGCAAGTTTATTTTAGAGGGATAAAAATACTTACTCTGCCACTGATGGCCTCTATATCTATTTCTGCCTTTTTAGCCCATTTTTGCCAGAAGTTGGGATCATCTAAAGAAATATCTGTCCGGTTTCCAGATGCCACAAAACTCGCCTGAAATATATAATGGCAGTTTTAGAGGAAAAATCTATCAAAGTACACTTAAAACATTATCTCCTCACATTTACTATGGATAGAATTTGAATTCTGCATACTCATACATCAAAGGGTGTTTCAAATTCAGTGGTCTGAAACACAGCACTGCATCTGCTTAAGGCAAAGGCTTAATGCAAACACAGGCTGAAGTTTAGGAGCAGAATTAAATAAGTTATTACTGTTGGTTAACTCTGATACTTTTGGTAAGGACTGAATCTTTTTGGTGGGGAGGCTACAGAGAATGGGGGTATGGTTTCTAAAAACATTACAAGACCATTAAGAAATTAGGTTAGAGAACAAGAATTTCCAAACCTGCCTGCACTACAGAGTTAATTTTCTGGTATATTTCTAGTTTATTTTCATCACATTTTCAGATAGTAATATCTCCTAAAGGAAATATAACACAGGATATGGGAAATAAAGGAAAATAAATCATTGTCATTTTAAAAACTCTTTTCCCAAACACACACAAAAAAGAAACTCTACCTTACCACAGAAACACTGCATAACCACTGTAAAAATTTAAGAAAATATTGAGGAGCAAAAGAAGAAAATACAAGTGATTTATTTTCGTAAATACTGTGGAAATTATAAAATCTTTTAGTTGGAAGAAACTCTAAAGATAACACTTCAACTCTTTAACCTGTGTTCTAATAACCATTATTTACAATTTAAATCACTGTAAATAGGCCTCATCAAAAAATGTCATCAAAATGCTTTATAAAAATGAAAGAAGCATTGAAGATACACAATGTGTTAAGGGCCTGAAAAATATATGTGAATTTTTATAAAAATAAATAGAAGAATATGGTCACATAAAACGATTTTCAAAGGAGACTAGTGGTAAATGGTTTTAAGATAATGCCCAATTATCAGGGATACAAACAAAAGGTAAAAATCTTAATTAAAGAAAAAGTCTTGATAAAATTTAAAAGATCCAGAAAAATCCCACATTAAAAAGATAAAACTGTTAAAAGCAAACAAGCCATTTTTTGATATTCAAGATAACTGTCAGTTTAAGCACTAGATAATTAATACCAAGGAATTGTTTCATTTTATTTTTAAATGTGGTAATAGTATTGTAGTATGTTTTAAAAGTCTTTATTTTTAATGATACATATGGAAACATGTAAAGGTGGTGATTATATCTGGGATTTGCTTCGAAACAGTATGAAAAAGTGGGAGGTGGTGATGAAACAAGTTTAGCATGAGTTGATAACTGTTGAATACTGTCTGTATTTGCAGTTTAAACTTTAGAAAACATCCAAGGCAGGCATGGTGGCTCACGTCTGTAAATCCCAAAACTCTGGGAGGCCAAGGCAGGAGGATTACTTGAGCCCACAAGTTCAAGACCAGCCTGGGCAACATAGTGAGACCCCATCTCTGTAATAATTTCTTTTAAAATTAGCCTGAGGTGGTGGTGCACACCTGTAGTCCCAGCTACTTGGGAGGCTGAGGTGGGTGGGTCACTTGACCCCAGGAGGTTGAGAGGTCAAGGCTACAGTGGGCCATGATTGCACCACTGCACTCCAGCCTGGCGAGAAAACAAGAACCTGTCTAAAAAAAAAAAAAAAAAAAAAAAAAAGTCTAAAACACCAAAAATTAAAAGGCTAAATGCTTCTTGCTGAACTTCAGATTCTGTTCATGTTATTGCTTACCAGGTAATAAATGTACTCATTCATTCAATCTAGTATTCTTTTGAGGTTTGGCTTTTAAGATGCTTATATAAAATAAAGCAAATGTTAAATACTGTGTTTCAAAATGTACATTTTGCGCATATTTATTAAACAGAAATGACAGGAACAAATGTTTTAATGAAATGAATTTAAATTCCCTTTTTTTTTTTTTTGCTTTCTCTAAACTATAGCTTTAATATAAAACTACTGAAAAACTAATTTTGTATTTCTTTGAACTGATGAATGTGATAAACTGAATAATGGTCCCCAAAGATACCTCATCCTAATCCCTGGAACCTTGTGAGTTTTGTCTTATATGGAAAAGGGACTTTGCAGATATGATTAAGTTAAGGACCTTGAAATAGAGAGATACCTTGTATTATCCAAGTAGGCCCTAAATGTAATTATAAATGTTCTTACAAAAGTGAGGCAGTGGGAGATTTGACTCTAGAAGAGAAAAAGGATATGACATGACAGAAGCAGAGATGGGAGTACTGTGGCCGCAAGCCAAGGAATGCAGGCAGTCTTAGGAAGTGGAAGAAATAAGAAACAGATTCTCCCCTAAAGCTTCCAGAATGAACCAGCCCTACTGACACCTTGATTTTATCCCTGTAAGACTCATGTTAGACTTCTGACACCTAGAACTATAAGAGAAAAAGTTTGTGTTGTCTTAAGCCATGAACCTCATGGGCTTTGTAATAATTTGTTACAATGACAACAGGAAATAGCATCAGACACTCTTAACGAGAAACCACATATTATAAAAACTCATATTCAACTTTTTTTTTTTGAGAAAAGGTCTCACTCTGTTGCCCAGACTGGAGTACAGCTGTATGATCATGGCTCATTGCAGCCTCTAGCTCTTGGTCTCAAACAATCCTCCTGCCTCAGCCTCCCAAGTAGCTGGGACAACAAGCATATGCCAGCTTGCCTGGCTGAGTTTTAACTTTTTTGTAGAGATGGAGTTTCACTTTGTTGCCTAGGCTGGTCTTGAACTTCCAGCCTCAAGTGATCTTCCTGCCTTGGCCTCCCGAAGTGTTAGAATTAGAGGCGTGTGCCACCAGTCCTGACCTTCATATCCAACTTGAAAGAACAAAGACTAACTAGTTTGATAAAACAAAACAACACAGCTATCATTAGCTGTATAAAATAAGTATGTTAAAACAATTCATCAAACTGGTATAAATGAGTATGAGGAACAGACATCTAACTACGTGCAAGTAATTCCTTAACTATTTCAGAACAAATTTTTCACAACTGAGGATATATGATACTTTAATATCTTCATTATTATAAACATATCAATTTTCAGGAATAGTGAAGTTTACTGAATGACATTCATAGGGTTTTATTCTGTTCTACAGTTTCAGTGATACATGCCTCTTGAGATTTAACCAATCTGGTAAATGAGTATTTGCCTTACGTGAACTGGAGAACATTTAACATGAAAAGCAGGCTGGGCATAGTGGCTCATGCCTATAATCCCAACACTTTGGGAGGGTAAGGTGGGACGACTTCTTGAGCTCAGGAATTTGAGACCAGCCTGGGCAACAAAGTAAGACTCCCATCTCTATTAAAAAATCAAAAAATTAACTGGGCATGGCGGCATGTGCCTGTGGTCCCAGCAACATGGGAGGCTGCGGCAGGAGGATCACTTGAGCCCAGGAAGTCAAGGCTGTAGTGAATCGTTGATTGCACCACTGCACTCCAGCTTGAGTGACAGAGTGAGATCTGTCTCAAAAAAGAAAAAACAAAAACCCAACAACAAAAAGCAAAAAACCATGAGGAACGATTAAACATGAAGTAATTGAAAGGACACAATCAGATTTTAAAGTGTGTTACTTTTTGGTTGTTTACCTAAAAAAAAATTATATGCTACAGTGTATAATAATTTTTATTCTGCTATCATATAACTATTGATAATGTAAAAAATTTACCTGGAAGAAATTAAATTTCAGAATTAAATAGCTTTGTTACATTCATTATAAGACAAATGATAAATTTAATTTACAAATAAAACAATTTTAAATTTCTAAACAATTCAAGAGGCTTTTGCTAACTGACATATATAACCTATTTACAAGATAGCTTACATGATTCTCAAGGATTGTGACAAGCAATTATGCCTATAGAAATAAGATGCTACTCCTTCCAAATACTAAATCCTAATATCCTAGTTCCCCCTAAATTTTTCTTCTTAAAATGCATTCCTTCCGCCATTAAATCTCTGTATTATTTGCAAGAGAAGATTTTAAATTGCGAAATCCATCTTCCTATGACAGACAGTGGCAGAAAGGCAGAAGGTGCCAACTAAAGGCCCTTACAAATAAGCAATCCATCTGAAGCACAATTTAGATGGTTTTCTTTCCTTTGTAAATTAAGCAATTCAAAGTATTTTGTTCTCTATCAAATTTTTAAAAATCAGACTAGAAACGTTTCTTTTTCTAGGACCCACCTGGCTGCCCTTATAAAAATCTCTCAAAACAAGTTTTAGGGGATATCATCACTTGAAAATGAAGTTACCAATAATGAGTTCTATCTATTTGATGTATATGTACTAAGTCTGAATAGTCTCATAAGGACCCTGTTCCATATATGTAGCTCCTTATTAAATACTATTTGATAATGCAAAGAAACAAAGAATGGAATTATTTTATTTCTTCAGATTGTTGAAAACAGTTGAGCAGAGCTGAAGTCTTTGGGTCGCAGGAAAAAGTGTAAAATACTACTAACTTTACACCATATCCCATTTTGGCAAATGTCCAGTATCTAATAGCATTCCCATACAACTATGGGAATGAACAAATTATTTGGGAAATGAACAAATTATAAAACAACTAGAGCAACCTCTCAACTCTCCTCAGCATTGTGGTACCTTATCAGTTTTCAAATGTGATAGTTACTCTCTGGTGTGAGGATTTAAAGTAGATATTCAAATGTTTAAGCATTTCTCAATTCTCAGAGCATTAGAGTATACTTGAGTTCTCTAAGGAAAATAAAAGTTAGATAGCACTGTATAGTAAAGTAGGAAAGGCCAAGTACGATTATTATGACCTCCTCTTTAAAGTAAGACTCAAAGAGGTTAATTGTTCAAGGTCACTCAGCTTATGAATCAGAATTCAAAACCTATTTTTCTGACTTTCCATGATCATTATCATTAACATGTTAAATAAGGAAGCCAAGAATCACATGTGCTCATTAAATGCTTTGTATATGCCTTCATTAATTAAAAACAAAACAAAACAACAACTTTAAGGACAGTATCTCCATGTTTGGCCTAATCAACAAGGACAGTAACCATGACCACCTTTTGATATTAATTAGATTTCAGATATGAGGAAAAATATTTCTGTCCATAGAGTAGAGAACCAAGGAATCAAAACTAAGTAAGATTTCCCAGGAAAAAAACTAGAGCCGGGGTACATCTACTTAGTCATGACTAGTTTTAGTTCTCAGTCTTATACTTTACTTCTGCAATGTTCCTTTTGGAAACAAAAGGAACTACTTTTTTTCTGATTTATTCTCTACTAATTTCCAAATCTGTATCTGTGTCCCAGGCAACTCTCCTAGACATCTCCATTTGGATCCTGTAAATGTCATAAATACAACAGCTCCAATACTTTCTTTTCCCCATATAAATGTCCTTCTCTATCTTAAAGACAACCATGACCCTCCTAGCTACTTAAGCAAAAAATCTTCAAGTCATTTCTGACTCTTCCTTCTCAAAATTTCTAACTGGTCATCTACACCTATTGATTCAAGTAGGTCTCCATGACCCTGGTTCACCCATCATTATTTCATACACAAGTCCCTTAAATAATCCTGTTTCTAGTCTTTCCCCTTTCCAACTTGTTCTCCATGCTGCTGCTAGAGTTAAATTTCTAAACCAGATTGCATTATGTCCAATTTCTGCTTGAAGGACTTTAAAAGCTTAACTGCCTTAGGATCAATTTCAAATTCCTCAAAATGGCACATAAAGCCCTTCACAATTTGGGTTCAACTTCCCTAACTCCTTCACCGTTTCATCTCCATGTAATTCATCTCCTGTATCCATACATGCCTATGTCACATTCCTGAAATATTCCTTGTAGTTTAGCAACATATGACTCATTTAGCTGGCTTTTTCTTTCTCTTTGTAAAACAATGAAATTCGCAATTCCCTCAAGACTCAGGTTGAATGTTCTTTTCTTTGCAAAGGCTTTCTTTATTCAGAATATACAGAATTAATAATCTCCTACTTTATTTTTTTTCAGCAACTATAATCCTTTCATTTTAGTATTCCTGGCATTTAGCAAAATACCTGACACAAGAATTTATTAGTCTGCTAAATGAATGCAAGTGAGTTTCTATTTGAAGGCTGGTATCTTACTTTGGTACAGCACCTGTACTTCCTGCTATACCACAATATTCCCCATAAAGATAAAGAAAAACTTCTGGATTGAAAGCAGAGAGGGGAATGGGGAAGAAGGGAAATGTAGAAAGGAAGTTCAGTGGAAAAGAGAAAACTTGTATGTAGTTTTCTGCAATTAGTGCAGGTGAGACAGAATACTCCAATAATAAACTATTCAGATGAATGGAAGAGGTAAGTTTATCATGTCTTGATTTGGAAAAAAAAAAAAAAGGAGAGAGAAAGAAAAATGGAATATGGCCAGGCATGGTGGCTCATGCCTGTAATCTCAGCACTTTGGGAGGCCGAGGCGGGTGGATCACCTGAGGTAAGGAGTTTGAGACCAGACTGGCTAACATGGCGAAACCCCGTCTCTACTAAAATTACAAAAATTAGCCGGGCATGGTGGTGGAGGTTGTAGTAAGCTGAGATCGTGCCACTGTACTCCAGCCTGTGTGACGGAGTGAGACTCTGTCTCAAAAAAAAAAAAAAAAAAAAAAGAAAAGAAAAAAGGAATATAAAGGCAATTAGTAAACTTTACAAATATTATCGCCTAACAGAGTATAGAGTTATTAATGTTTCCTTCCAAAATACAAATTTCATCTTACCCCTTAAGACTTAGATACTCCTGACCTCACGTATCCACCCGCCTTGGCTCCCAAAGTGCTGGGATTACAGATGTGAACCACCTCGCCCGGCCAGATTTAAGTATTTAAAATGAAATAGGAAATTTTCTCTCTCCTTTAGGTTCTTCAAATTATGAAAGTTGATGTAAGCTGATTTAACCTCTTACATTACTTACATTTTGTTCTGCCTTTGGTATATACAGATGTTTAGTTTCTAAATTTCTTTGATTTCATATGTTCTACTCTAACATTTAGAACCATTTCTAGTTATTACATTTATTCTGTTTCACAAGGATCAGAAAAGTTCATGTGAAATTAACATAAGGGATCAGAAAAAAATGAAGGAAAATACATTACCTACTGCATCTTGGCTAATTCAGTATGTTTAAACATTCGGTATAAGAGATAATTAAACTTTCTCAGTAGTTAGGATGTGAACATCACTGCTATGTTAATAAAATTGCACCCACTATTACCTTGGCAAATGTTGACCCACGTCCTTCTGATTCAATTGTAATAGTTTTTGTACGACGTAGTAAAATCTGATCGATATCCTCTTCGCAGAATTTAGAGCCTTCATCTTCTTCCTCCATAATAGCACCATAAGCACCTCTTCGAAGCAGATCTTCTATTTCCTTTTTGGAAAGCTGCTGAATCTAAGGAGAAATTAACTTCCATAAAAATAGTTTTTTTTAAAGTTCATAAAGTGAGAAAGTATCCCTAAAGGATGTCAAAGAACACAAGAGGCATGCTTAAACTGCATTTGGGTTTGGGATGCGCATAAGAGAGAATTCACAGAAATAATACATTGAAGTTGTTGACTCTTCTTTGCTCTGTTAAAATAAGAATTACCCATCTGCCTAGAATGGCTTTGGTTAAAACAAGGCCTAAGGGTTGGGTAACATCTTTCAAGGTTCTTTTCTTTATTTTTTATTTTTTTTCTTTTTAAGACAGGGTCTTGCTCTGTTATCCATGCTAGAGTGCAGTGGTGTAAACACAGCTCACTGCAGCCTTGACCTCCTGGACTCAAGCGAGTCTCCTGCCTCAACTTCCCAAGTGGTGTGGACCACAGGCATGCACCATTATGCCCAGCTAATTTTTATTTTTTATAGAGACAGGGTCTTGCCATGTTGCCCAGGCTTGTCTCAAACTCCTAGGCTCAAGCAATCCTCCTACCTCAGCGTCCCAAAGTGCTGAGATTACAGGTGTGAGCCATGTGCCCAGCCCAGTACTAGGATCCTATTACCGATAGATATTAGGCAAGAACCTTGAGCGAAAAAAAAGCCAAAATGTCATCATTTATAACAAGACAAAGCCAATGCTAGTAGATTGACACTAAAAAAAGAATTTGAAAATTGTTTATATAAACACAAATTCTATTTTGCTATGCCATCATACAAATGTCCTAAAAAGAGAGCAAAGAATTTCTATCTTGAAAATACATTTAGAATTCATAAGCTCTGGAGCTACACAGAAAGAAAAGGATTCAAAAGTATTAACTAAACATAGCTCTGTCCTGAAAATGTTCCCCTGCAGAAAACAAATGTGTTTAGTATTCTGCATGGACCAAAACTAAATGACACACTATTGGAGGTAAAATCAAATGCAAAAACACACAAAAATCTCAAGTGAAAAAGAAACTATACATACACCACCAACATTACTTTCTCTTCCACTCATGCTCTGTAACACAGCTTTATCTAGGCCCAGTTTCAAACTGGCTCGGTCAAACATCTCTCTCTCATATGAGTTACGAGTTACCAGTCTGTAGACTTTAACTGCTTTGTTCTGACCAATTCTGTGGCAACGAGCTTGGGCCTATAAAAATGAAAAGTTACATATTTAATTAGTTTCTCAAAAGGCATTTAATAGTAAACTATATGTATGGCATATAAACACATACAAGAATTCTTAGACCATTTTTATTGAATTAGATATAACCTTTTTCTAGAAATTAAGGGAGAGCTTACCACAATGAGAAATAATCCCACAATCAGTAGTAAGTTAAAATTTAGGTTTATAAGCTTAAATATCAAAGAATATAAATTCACAAAGGACTATTTTTTTTGTTTGTTTTTTGAGATGGAGTCTTGCTCTGTCACCCCAGCTGGAGTGCAGTCGTGCGATCTTGGCTCACTGCAACCTCCGCCTCCTGGGTTCAAGTGATTCTCCTGCCTCGGCCTCCTGAGTAGCTGGGATTACAAGCACCTGCCACCACATCTGACTAATTTTTGTATTTTTAGTAGAGATGGGGTTTCACCATGTTGGCCAGGCTGGTCTCGAACTCCTGACCTCAAGTGATCCACCCGCCCCAACCTCCCAAAGTGCTGGGATTACAGGCATGAGCCACTGCGCCTTGCCTTATTATGTTTTAACGGAAGTGTAGTCAGTATACTTTTAGGCAGGGACACAAAACCTATGAACAGATTTTATAGTTGATGGCAACTCAAGTTTTTTGTTGTTTTTTTTAGACATGGGGACTTGCTATGTTGCCCAATCGAACTCCTGGGCTCAAGAGATCCTACCACTTTGGCCTCTCCAAGTACTGGGATTACAGGTGTGAGCTACCACTCAAGTTTTAAAGTCTAACGCTAAATTTCTAAATTTTTTTCAATTACATTATCAACAATCTTTTCAATATATTTTATTTAAGCTGGGTACTTTTTTTCCATAAGTTATTGGGGTACAGGTGGTATTTGGTTACATAAGTTCTTTAGTAGTAATTTGTGAGATTTTGGTGCAACCATCACCTAAGCAGTATACACTGCACTATATTTGCAGTATTTTATCCCTTGCCCACCTCCCACTCTTCTCCCCAAGTCCCCAAAGTCCATCATACCATTCTTATGCCTTTGTGTCCTCACAGCTTAGTTCCCACTTATGAGTGAGAACACACGATGTTTGGTTTTCCATTCCTGAGTTACTTCACTTATAATAATAGTCTCCAATATCATCCAGGTCACTGCAAATGCTGTTAATTCATTGTTTTTTATGGCTGTGCAGTATCCTATCATATATATATATATATACACACACATATATACACACCACACACGCACATATACCCACCACAGTTTCTTTATCCACTCATTGATTGATGGGCATTTGGGTTGGTTCCACAATTTTGCTATTGTGAATTGTGCCACTATAAACATGTGTGTCCAAGTATCTTTTTCGAATAATGACTTATTTTCCTTTTAGTAGATACCCAGTAGTGAGATTGCTGGATCAAACAGTAGTTCTACTTTTTGTTCTTTAAGGAATCTCCATACTGTTTTCCATAGTGGCTGTACTAGTTTATATTCCCACCAGAAGTGTAGACGTGTTCCCTGTTCACTGCACCCACGCCAACATCTTCTGTTTTTCGATTTTTTGATTATGGCCATTCTTGCAGGAGTAAAGTGGTATTTCAATGTGGTTTTGATTTGCATTTCCCTGATCATTAGTGATGTTGACCATCTTTTCACATGTTTGTCAGCCATTTGTATATCTTCTTTTGATAATTGTCTATTCATGTCCTTAGCCCACTTTTTGATGGAACTGTTTTTTTTTTTTTTTCTGATTTGAGTTTGTTGTGTAGATTCTGGATATTAGCACTTGGTCAGAAGTACAGATTGTGAAGATTTTCTCCCACTCTGTGGGTTGTCTGTTTACTCTGCTGTCTGTTTTTGCCATGCAAAAGCTCTTTAGTTTAATTAAGTCCCAGCTATTTATCTTTGTTTTTACTGCAATTGCTTTTGGGTCCTTAGTCATGAAATCTTTGCCTAAGCCAATGTCTAGAAGGGTTTCTCCAATGTTATTTTCCAGAATTTTTATAGTTTCAGGTCTTAGGTTTAAGACCTTAATGCATCTTGAGTTGATTTTTGTATAAGATGAGAGAAGAGGATCCAGTTTCATTCTCTAACATGTGGCTTGCCAATTATCCCAGCACCATTTGTTGAATAGCGTGTCCTTTCCCCACTTTATGTTTTTGTTTGTTTTGTCAAAGATCAGTTGGCTGTAAGTACGTGGGTTTATTTCTGGGTTCTCTATTCTGTTCCATTGGTCTATGTGTCTATTTTTATACCAGTACCATGCTGTTTTGATGACTATGGCCTTACAGTATAGTTTGAAGTCAGGTAGTGTGATGCCTTCAGATTTGTTCTTTTGGCTTAGTCTTGCTTTGGCTATGCGGGCTCTTTTTTGGTTCTATATGAATTTTAGAATTGTATTTTCTAAATCTATGAAGAATGATGGTGGTATTTTGATGGGGATTGCATTGAATTTGTAGATTGCTTTTGGCAGTATGGGCATTTTCACAATATTAAGTCTTCCCATCCATGAACATGGGATGTATTTCCACTTGTTTGTGTCATCTATGATTTCTTTCTAAGCTGGGTCATTTTTTGGGGGAAAAAAAACCACCCAAGGTAAATAACTCTGGATATCTAAATTTTATTTAAATGAAGGACAAACTAATTAATATGCATACATGTTAAAAGTGGAGACATCAGAGATCACATAAGGGCTTCATATTTTATCTTGAGTTCTGACTAACCTTAAACTTTGTATGATAAATCTTGACTCCAAATATTCTACAGAATCTAGTTTTTCTCCCAAATTATTAATCACCTTTCCATTATCTTCAGACAAATTAAATCATAAAATGTGGCTTTAAAATATATAGGGGGCACTAATGTTCTGCCCTTCATTGACACTTTTATTCTATCCACATCCATTTTGTGCCATTTGGAACCCAGGACTGTAAATGGGCAACTTTGCTCTAGGTGTAGGGGAAGTACAAGAGGCCAAATATTATCTTAGTCTGTAACAACTGGATCTACATTAGCAGTCAAATAGGAAAAAACAAGTGAGAGGGAGAAATTGGGAGATTCAGGATACTTTCTCTTCAGGTTCTATAAAGTGACTTTATTATTTTAAATTAACTTTTAGAACATCCACTATGGGCACTTATAAGTACAAACATGCATTTCAAAGGCAAACAATTATGATTTGGGTTTAATGTAGGAATTGGGAAACTACAGCCTGTGGACCAAATCTGGCTTGCCAACTAAGAATGGCTTTTTTACCTTTTTAAAGGATTATGACAAACAAACAAGAATGTGTGACAGAGATCTTATGTGGCACACAAAGCTTGAAATATTTACTAATTGAGCCTTCCACAGAAAGAGTTGGTGGTCTCTGGCTTATTAATTTTGGATAATCTTTTGATATTTTAAAGTAGATTACATATAGTTACATAAATAAGCAATTTAAAATATGTTTTAAGCTAGGTATATTCTCAATAACCATTTATTATATTTGTTTTTATGCTTGTTTAAAAATATAATATGGCTGGTCTGAAGGTAGTTATTTAATGGGTTGTTCAGAGCTACAGATTGAACTCTACTTTTCCCCTTCTCACGACTACACTTGACTAGTTTTATAAAAAAAAAAGTACTAATATGAATTGCAATGCAATTAAGACTATGATGAATAATAAAATAATTTCTCTTATATTTTGTTCTCTTCTCATATCCTTCTGCAAATTTAGACTCTCTTTGATCACTGTAATTAATATTCCTATATTTCTATGTAGTCCAAGTATAGTCTTACTTATATGTGTGCCTTCATTTTCTATTTTATTAAAAAAGCATACTATATTATGATTACAAGATAAAATCAGAATAAGCGAGTACTTATTTTTAAGGATTAAAATTCTGAAATTTTAATTTTATTACAAATAAATTATTCTTAAAGCTTAGGTCTCTCTCAAGTTTACATAATATTCTTTAAACTATAAAAATATCAGGCCAGGCGTGATGATGCGTGCCTGTAAACCCAGCACTTTTGGAGGCCAAGATGGGAGGAATGCTTGAGTCCTGGGGTTCAAGACCAGCCTGGGCAACATAGTGAGACCTCATATCTAAATAAACAAACAAAAAGTACTGTACTCAATTAGGTATAATTTTTTATAAGCTAGTAAGACATATAAGTTAGTGAGACATATAAAAAAGTAAAAATTTTTGTCATTATAGTTTTTATCATAACAATTAAAATAACTTCACCTATTTTATTTGGCACAGATATTTCATAGAGAAACATACATTAGTTTGTCCAGATAAAAATAAAAGATGTGGATTACCAAAAAGTTACACAATTTTACTTTTTTAAAAAATGCATTTTTTGTTAGCCAAGGAAATTATTTACCTGAAGATCATTCTGAGGATTCCAATCAGAATCAAAAATTATACATGTATCAGCTGCAGTTAAGTTGATGCCCAACCCACCAGCTCGGGTACACAGGAGAAAAACAAATCTATCTGAATCAGGTTTACTAAATCTATCTATAGCAGCTTGCCGAAGATTTCCTCTGACTCTGCCATCAATTCGCTCATATAAGTATCTATGGAATGAAATGGAATAAATTTACATAAATAAGTATAATAAAACTGAAGACATATTCTATCAAATGTAAAGTCAGTTTTCCTGCAGCATTATGTTTTCTCTAAAATTAAGAAGCAATATCATCTCAAGTAGTTTCTGTGACTTTATACTTTTTGGTGTTGGTGTTAAGGAGAAAACAAAAACTAATATAAAGATACAAAACCTCTGAATTCCCAGATGTATAGGTAAAAGAACACTACAATAAATTTTATTTCAGAAGTTAGAATAACAAAAGGCAGTCTATAAAAACTGCTTTGCTGATCTCATCATAATATATTACTTTTTTGCAAGAAATACTTTCACAAAAACTTTATACAAGAAGGCTATGAATGTTTCTTTTGTCCTTAATCCATGTTACTCTCGACTGACATACTTGCTTCTATATTGCAATCTATTAAGAATACACTGGAATGCTGTTGAATTCTTTATAGTCATTACTGCAAAGTGATTATCTTTTAACTTCCTTTATCCTTCCCCATTTAACATATACAAAACTCAAAAACTGCAAGACATCAAATAAAAATAAAATACATAAAAATTTAGGAGCTTGGACTCTAAGTGGTATACATATGACATCTGACACACTTCTACATATGATTTACTAGAGTTTTAGCAGTCTCTCCGCGGTTATCTCTGGTACCTGCAAAATGGAGACTTCTAATAATGTTTGTTATGACAATAAAGAAACTCTGAATTTTCCATGAAATTTATTACAACAGAAATTGATAAGTAATTTTATCTGTATGAAGTTCTCCACGTAAGAAGATTAAAAAAATATAAGAATTACTATTTTTGGGAACAGTGCAACTTAATGTTCGTATCACATGATATAAAATTGAGAATACTATACATTTTAAAATGAGGCTAAAGAGTAGGACATTGACAATAAAAATGGAACTAGAAATAAAAATGAAAAATAAAAATGAACTACATAATCTCTAATAATATAAATCAGTATAGACCTTTACTTATCTATATGGGTTAAAATCTATTGAATTAAAATCTGCAAGCCAGGTGCAGTGGCTCATGCCTATAATCCTAGCACTTTGGGAGGCTGAGGTGGAAGAACTGCTTGAGCCCAGGAGTTTGAGATCGGCTTGGGCAACACAGTGAGACCCTGTCTCTACCCAAAATAAATTAGCTGGGTGTGGTAGTGCATGCTTGTAGTCCCAGCTTCCTGGGAGGCTGAGGTGGGAGGATTGCTTGAGCTCAGGAGTTCGAGGTTGCAATGAGCTATGATCACACCACTGCACAACACCCTGGGCAACACAGTGAGACCCTGTCTTCAAAAAAAAAAAAAAAACAAAAAAAAAAACCAACAAAGCAAAAACAAACAAAAAAAAATAAAATAAAAAATCTATAGCTGAAATTTCTGATTCTCTTTTACATTAATATGTTACTATCAGATGGAATCCTAATGGTCTGATAAAATATCCTACGATAATTAGCCTATTATAGCCTAAATACTGATTAGACAATTTTTTTTTTTTTTTTGAGACAGAGTTTCGCTCTGTCGCCCAGGCTGGAGTGCAGAGGCACGATCTCGGCTCACTGCAAGCTCTGCCTCCCAGGTTCACGCCATTCTCCCGCCTCAGCCTCCCGAATAGCTGGGACTACAGGTGCCCGCCATCATGCCCGGCTGATTTTTTGTATTTTTTTTTTTTTTAGTAGAGACGTGGGTTTCACCGTGTAAGCCACGATGGTCTTGATCTCCTGACCTCATGATCCGCCTGCCTCAGGCTCCCAAAGTGCTGGGATTACAGACGTGAGCCACCGCGCCCGGCCTGATTAGACAATATTTAACACTATCTTATTGTGATGTACCAATAAACAAAACAAAACAAAAAACCCACATTGAAACAAATCAGAAAAAATTAAAGCATGAACAAATTTTATATAGTATATAATAAGAATAAAAGTCCCACAACTTAAGGCTCTAATTATAACAATGAAATAGATCCAAAGTTCTTGAATCACTTTTTTCAATTTTGAAGATGACTGTTGTAAATATATATCTATTTAAAGTTTCATCCACAAGGTTTATTAATCAAGTAAAATGTACATTTTTAAACCCATTCCTGGGTAAACAAATATTTATTTGCAAGCTTTTCTTAATTGGACTCCTCAGGCACATCTAATATTGCAACATATGCAGGTTAGGAAAATATAACACATAATCCTAAACAATCTTTACTTATAAATTTGAATGCATTATTCTAATCTAGCAAAGAGAAAGATATGAGTAAAGTTCATTTACATTACAGTGCTGCACAAATCTTAATAGCATATACTTAGCATAATTCACAGTAAATTCAGTATGCTTTACCTTTTATGTATGAGATAGTCCTCCAGAATGTCAAGGCAACGAACCATTTGAGAGAAGATGAGCACTTTATGACCTCCGGCTTTCATTTTGGGAAGCAATTTATCAATAAGGACCAATTTACCAGCAGACTGGATCATTGCTTGAAGATGAAAATCAGAAGCAGCTGGATTGTAAGTATCTCTAAATTCTCCAAGTATTTTCTCCTCAGCACCTGTCAAAGAAATAGGAGAAGATAACAGCAATGTGCAAATGCAGGAAATTCCCAATTGCTTTCCTTTTAATCACAATTAGTGCTCCTGTGTGCTTCTGTAACATAATTTTCTAATGGCATGTACATTGCTTTTATTAGAATTATTTAAGCTTGTTGCTGAACCTCCACCAATACCAGACTGTAATTCCATTGAGGACACAGACAAGGTCTTAAACATCTTTTTGTCTCCTCAGATACCTGGCATAATGCCTTTTATAAATTTATGTTTGCCAAATGTTTAATGAATGTTATTAGGGAAAAAATAAAACTGTGGTCCTAACTCAGTTGAGTAAACACATATATTTTTAAATATCTAATATTTAAACAGCAATCATAACAGTGGTCATCACTGAAGGATGATCATAGTTGATCTGGATGTGTCTATGGGCATCTTGTTAGCCATCAAAACAAGGAAACAAGAAAAAATTAAGGCTAGGTGCAGTGGCTCGTGCCTGTAATTTCAGCACTTTGGGAGGCCAAGGCAGAAGGATTTCCTGAGGCCAGGAGTTTGAGACCAGCCTGAGCAATATAACAAGACCCCATCTCTACCAAAAAGAAAAAAAAAAGAAATCAGCTGGGTATGGTGGTGCATATGCCTAGTTCTAGTTACTAAGGAGGCTGAGGCAGAAGGGTCAGTTTCCAGGAGCTTGAGGCTACTGTGAGCTATGAACACACCTCTGTACTCCAGCCTGGGTGATAGAATGACACTGTATCTTAAAACAAAAACAAAAACAAACAACAACAACAAAAAAACACAGAAAAAGAAAGAAAGAAGAGAATAAATTAAAATGAAAGCCATGTTACAGGTGCTTGATGCATACTTCCTTCGGATAATCCAAATCAGAATTAAAGAGGCTCTCTGTATTCCTTTCCTCAGCCTGTCTAGCCATAAGAGAGTACTGTAACTACAAGAGACTTCAGTTGTCTTGAATAAAGTGAGTAGAGAGGCGTATATTCCCAAGAATAAGTGAAAAACCCAAACATTGTACAGAGAGAACACTGGGAAAGAACCTGATAAGATCTTAAAAAGTAACATTATTACAGCACAAGAATTGAAACACTAACTGATGTATCTTGACTGGAAGGAAACCAGGAAAAAAATGGCAATGCAGAAGCCCCAAAAATGGGCTTTGCTGTCTTTGCCTATGAGGAGGATTAAACAAGAGGACAAATTCTAGTCCAAATTATACTGAACAAACTGCTGCTGTCATAACCTGGTGTGTTAACATCAGTCACTGTAACAAAGCAGTTCACATTGCCTCTGATTCTGTAACACTTGTAATTCCTTAGAATATCACAGTGGAGAGTCATAACAGCCACTACAGCTGTAGTGTGTTCTGTTTATTTATTCATTAGTATTTGTTGCAAGAAAAAACATATTTGTTGTAATCTTTTTTAGCTACCTTTTATAAGATATGGATGATTACAACATTTCCTGAGCTCCATCATGGTATTGACCAAGTTAGGTACATTAGTTTGTCCTGCTCCTTTGGATAAAAAAGAAAAGTTCTTTTCCAAGATAGCCCGGTAGTATTTCTTTTGAATATTAGTAAGTTCTACTTCAATGATGGTTTCTTCTTTAGGTGCCAACTTCTTTTCCACATCTTCTTTTAATCGTCTCAACATCATTGGTTTCAGGATAGCCTGAAGTTTCTGTACCTGAATAAAAAATGATAAAAAGACATATAACATAAGTGAGCATTTAATTACACATACAAAATAATTACAATGATTAGAAATGCGATGAATGTATTTACAAAGAGCAATAGGATACCTGTTCCTCTGTTTTCAGATCCCCAAATTCTTGCATAAATGTTGATTCAGAAGGAAACCTTAAGGGTTCAAGAAAGTGAAGAAGACTAAATAGTTCTTCAACTGTATTTTGGAGAGGGGTGCCAGTCAAAAGCACCTTGTGTTCCTACAAAAAGTGAGAACAATTCACATCAAACATCACAGTACTAAAATTATATGAAAGCTGACTTAGATTATCGAATGATCAATATGCAAATATTTTTCTGACTATATATACATATATATATGTTATGTGTGTGTGTGTGTATATATATATATTTGTTTGTTTGTTTAGAGACAAGGTCTTGCTGTGACACCCAGGCTGGAGTGCAGTGATGCCATCATAGTTCAGCATTACACATACAACATAATTACAATGATTAGAATAAATTACAGTGGTGCCACTGTAACCTTGAACTCCTGGGCTTAAGGGATCCTCCTGCCTCAGACTCCCGAGTAGCTAGGACTACAGGTATGCACCACAACACCTGGCTAATTAAAAAAATATTTTTTTGTAGAGATGAGATCTTACTATGTTACCCAGCTGGTCTCGGGCTCCAGGCCTCAAGTAAGCCCAAAGTGCTGGGATTACAGGTGTGAGCCACGGTACCCAGACTCATAATTTTCAAGAGTTAACTCAAAAAACTACATCTCTACCCACAAATCTTTAGGAATGTACTTTCCCAATCGCTTTTTAAAAACTCTGTATCATTCTGAAATGCTTCACTTTGTATGCTATTCGTGCCTTTAAAAATTCTAAATAATTTTAGAAAAAAAGAAAACATTCTAAGAACAAAGAGGGCATTTTTTCTTTTGTACTCAAACATTCTTGGTATGGTAATTTGTATACCAAAGAGTGCTCATCATTTATAATTTGGATGATCATCATTTAACTCTTTAAACATGAATGAATTATCAAATCACTGAGGTTACAATCCAAGAACGTAAAGGTCTAATTGAAATATGCTTTGAGGCCGGGCGCGGTGGCTCATGCCTGCAATCCCAGTACTTTGGGAGGCCGAGGCAGGCAGATCACGAGGTCGGAGATCAAGACCATCCTGGGTAACACGGAGAAACCCCATCTCTACTAAAAATACAAAAAATTAGCCGGGCGTGGTGGTGGGCACCTATAGTCCCAGCTACTCAGGAGGCTGAGGCAGGAGAATGGCGTGAACCCGGGAGGCAGAGCTTGCAGTGAGCTGAGATCATGCCACTGCACTCCAGCCTGGGCAACAGAGTGAGACTCAGTCTCAAAAAAAAAAAAAAAAAAGAAATATGCTTTGAAACTACAATTCCTTAAAAATTAAACAGAATAGTAAAAGAAGAAAATAAACATAGAATATTTTTAATGGTAGTATAAATTATTTAAAATTTTATTTGACAAAACCTTTAAATTCCCATGCTAAATATTTGTATATGTATCTGCGAATCTGCACATTATGTATATGGCAGCAAATGGCCCAGAAAGATAAACAGGAAACCATACTGGAATGAGGTGTTGAACTGGGTGTGTGGCATAGATGGACAGGGAGTAAAAAGGAAAACTTTAAGTTTTTACAGAATGTGGTTCTTTGTATTTGAATTATTTGTTCAAGTGCTCATGTAATAATTATGTGATCTTAATTAAAAATCAAAATGTTTAAAAAATGCTTTCATTTGAAAGAAGCAAACACACTAACAAAAAGATGACTATAAGAAATCCCACTATTAATTATAACCAACATATGTTAAACATGTAGAAGTGTGTAGGACTTTTTACCATAAATGATCTGAATAATATAACTTTGGTAGAGGGGCTTTTTATTAAGTAATTCATGGCTTAAAACTTATGGTCTTAGTCTACTAAAAATACAAAAAATTACAGGCTCACGCCTGTAATCCCAGCACTTTTGGAGGCTGAGGCGGGTGGATAACCTGAGGTCGGGAGTTCGAGACCAGCCTGACCAACATGGAGAAACCCCATCTCTACTAAAAATACAAAATTAGCTGGGCATGGTGGCACATGCCTGTAATCCCAGCTGCTTGGGAGGCTGAGGCAGGAGAATCGCTTGAACCTGGGAGGTGGAGGTTGCAGTGAGTGGAGACCGCACCACTGCACTCCAGCCTGGGCAGCAAGAGAGAAACTCCATCTTAAACAAACAAACAAACAAAACAAAAACTTACGGTCTTATTTTCTTTTAAATAGTACATACTCTATAGAGGTCTCATTTTAAAAATTAATTACTAATGCTTTTTGAAGGAAAGAGCTAAAAAATTTGAAGTCGTAGGAAACAGAATTTTTTTTCTTACAAATTAAGGCCCCCCAAAAAATCTCAATTATCACAGATAAGATTCAGATGTACTACACTCTAAAATTAAAAAGAAAAATTTTTAGCATTAACTCTATAACCTTTCACTATACATCTAATAAACTCAATTGTCATAATGATAATATTAAGTTACTTACCAGATTCATGAGTTTCAGGCCCTCTAAGAGTTTACAATTTTTATTTTTTAACCTATGTGCTTCATCAATAATCACACATCGCCATTCAATTGCATTAAGCTCTCCACAGCCTCCAAGAATCATTTCAAAAGTGGTGATGATGGCTTGGAATCTGTAAGCTCCTCGAATGATACGCCCCTAGAAATGATCAAATATAATTATTTGCTGGAATATTTTAATTGCATATTTTTTATTCCTGTCAAGTGGCATCAGATAACATCTGTTATAAAACATTTCTAATGAAATTTTTACATATGCAGACACTCCCTTACAATGAAAACTTTTATCATTGAAACTGTATTATATTGCCGTGTTCAATAATCTTGTTAAACATTATGCCAACATAATTATATTATTCATAATTGTATCCTAATAAGTATTTCTTGGTAAAATGTTGTATGATAATTTTTAAGAATTATAATAATTTTGGGCAAGAAATAATCATGATAAAATCTGGCCAATGAGATTTCAGTATTAGTTCTTATTACTTACACCAATGAGTTCACAAATATAATAGCAAATAAATAGTGAATAATTAGCCATCCAAATACTTTATTCAGCAGATATTGAGTATCTATGTGCTAGACCCTGTTCTAGTTGCTGGAGATATAGCAGTAAACAAAACAGATAAAAATAATTATCCAATTAGAACTTATATTCTACTGAATCAAATGCAGGACATAGTTATTAAGAAAATAATTTTTTAAAAAGTAAGTTAGAGATAAGGGCTGTGGAATAAAATAAAACAAGGATGTGGGATAAGAAGTATAAGGTTGGAGGTGACAACTGCAGTTTTTGTATAGAGTGGTTGGGAGACCATTATTGCGATGTGGTATCTGAGGAAAGATCTAAAGATGAGGGAGGAAGTCATGTTGATACCTAGAGATCTATAAAAGAAAGCATTCTTGGTAAAAGTAGTAGTAAGTATGAAGGCCCTAAGGTAAGAGTATCTTTGGCAGCATTCAGATAACAGCAAGAAAGCCAGAGTGTTTGAAACCCAGTGAGTTGGGGAGGGGATGCAGCCGACTGCGGGACTTGAAAACTGTGATAACAGATTTTGGCTCTGAGCAAGACACTATTGAAGGGATTTGTAAGAAGTGTCCTGATTTGACATAAATTTTTAAAAAGTCCCTTTGGCAGTTGTGATGAAACCTGTCTGGAGAGGCCAAGGACAGGATCATGGAGAACAGTTAAAAAGCTGCCATAGTAATGCAAGCAAGAAATCTTCATTGGAGTTCATGAGAAGTGGTCAGTTCTAGATACATTTTGAAAGTAGAGCCAACAGGATTTCCCAATGGATAAGTATGGAGTGAGATAGAGGAGGGCCTCAAATTTACCTCTAAAAATTTTAGCTTGAACAACTGGAAGTTCATGTTGTTATTTACTAAAAAGAAGTAGTTTTGGATTTTGATTTTGTATGTGTTAATTTTGAGACATCTATTAGACATATCCATGTGGAGTTGTTAAGAAGGCATTTGGATATGACTCTGGAATTTAGGAAAGAGTTTACACTTGGTGATACAGGCTTAGGAATTTCAGCAGTACAGATGGTATTCAAAGTTATGTGTATGAATCAAATATGTGAGATAATGAGTGCAGACACAAAAGAGTCTGAAGACTGAGCTCTGGGTTACCCCAAAGTTTAGATATAGGGAAGATAAGAAGGAACCAATAAAGGGGGCTTGAGAAACAATAAGTGGTGATGTAGGACAGGATGAAGTCTTGGAATCTAAGTGAAGAGAGTGTTTAAACAGGGTTGAAAACATAAGCTATTGGGTATTAAGTGAAAAGAAGGGATAAGAACAGTTGGGTGTTCTTAGATTTTAATTAATATTAACCTAATTAATTTTAGGTCAGTTAATATTAATTGTGTATACTGGCCATTAAGTTGAATAATAGCTGCAGTAGAATATTATTAAAATAGGTATAAATTATAAATCTCTGGCATTTATACAGCTCTAAAAACCTGGGATATAATATATTCAGTTAAGTTGATATCACAGTGTTTAATAACAAGGGCTCTTGAATCTGATTGATTTGAGTTTATTAATCCTGGTTTTACACTGTGATTTTGGGGCAATCTATGCAACTTCTTTAGCCTCAGTTTTCTCATGGGTAAAATGGAGATAATACTATCTATTTTACAAGGTTGATATTACAAAGATTAAGTGAAATAATATATGTAAACTGTTTAGCATAATGCCTGGCACATGTTAAATACTTGATAAATGTTTGTGGTTATTAGTTTATCACTTCCATTACTTTTCCCAGGGCAATTTAGAAAAATTTTAGCATGATTTTAGTACTACTGTTATTTCAAGCTATTCGATAATGTAAAAAAAAAAGAAGTTAAATATTCACTTAATTTATATGAAAATATATTTAAAAGAGTTAATTCTAAAAGTCATTTCTATATTTGAAGTGCAGATCTATTTATTTCATTATAGGAGACATCTTTATCTTTTGAAATTTAAAACCTCTTTAGGTAATATATATCTAGAATTTGTAACATTTATCATAAAAATACAATATTTAATATATACAATTCAGTTTATTACATATCAAGAATCTTCCAGGTTTTTGGCTATCATATTTATGCCAAACTCATGTGACACATATATTAAAATTGTAACTTTGTTAAAAATCTCTGTAAGTCTCAAGATATTAGTTGTGCTTTCTATAAAAAATGAGAATGTCAAATTAAATCATTTTTATGACAACATACAGCTCTAAAATTCTACAAATGTACGAGTAAGAATAATGAAACACTAGACCAGGTGCAGTGGCTCCTGCCTGTAATCCCAGCACTTTGGGAGGCTGAGGTGGGAGGATTACATGAGTTCGAGACCAGCCTGGGCAACAAATTGAGACCCTATCTTCACAAAAAATAAAATAATTAGCCAGGTGTGGAAATGCACTCCTGCAATCTCAGCTACTTGGGAGGATCACTTAAGCCCAAGAGTTTGAAAATGGATAAATTAACTGATTTTGCTCCTGTAACCTCATTTTGCTTCCTACTTCCAAGGTTGAAACAATTACATTTATACGAAATTAAGCATCTATATAATTAATTATTCTTCAATTGAAAATAGTCACCTTTGCACCTTTGGAGTCCATGATATCTTAATTAGATTATAGATTGATTCTTTTCCTTTTTTTAGGGACAGGGTCTTGCTGTCACCCAGGCTTCAGTGCAGTGGTGTGATCACAGCTCACTGCGGCCTCAAACTCTTGGGCTCAAACAGGTAGAAAATCAGTTATCATTGGAAGACAAAAGTAGAAGGCTATGCACATTATCTTACTTCAACCTCTATCATATCACATAACCTGGCCATGTATAATAATGATCCTTTTAGAACAACAGAATGAGGGAAAGAAAAAATACTAAAGTGCTTTTAGTGTAGGGTGCCAGGAGATAAACCTTTTCCATTTAAAAAGTACAGTTTTTTTGTGAATTTATTGATTTTATTGAAATATTTTAATAAAATGATTCATATGAACATTCAAAAACCATGACTTGAATGTTTTCTTTTTTAAAAAATATTTTAATTTTTTCGTAGAGATGGGGTCTTGCTATGTTGCCCAGACTGGTCTGGAACTCCTGGCCTCAAGCAATCCTCCCACCTCGGCCTCCCAAAGTGTTAAGATTATAAGTGTGAGCCACCATGCCTGGCCTATCTTTTCTAGTCTTAACTTTCTGCTAGAAAATTCTTAAGGTGTCATCTCTTTATTTTACAATCTATGTATTTAGAAGGGATAGGAAATCCCTTCCTAAAGAGTAAGTGGTCAAAGTAAAATAGAAAATGCTCCTCTAAAATACATGGAGAGAGGAACATCATCAAACCACTAGAGTACTGAAATCATCATTCCTAAAAGATGGAGGTATACCTGTTTTGGTAAGCAAAACAAACAACATTTTAAAAAATGTCTAAAATAAAAATCCATTGAACATGAAAGAGAACCTATGGTCTCACCTCAACAGGCATTTAAGCCTGTGGTATTAGTGAGGATTTAAATTTTTTAAATGACGGGAAAAAAGCTGGACAATGATCAGAGACAGTTAATACCCTAAAAATAAATCTAATGTGTATTTAAAAACAATTAGTAAAATTATTATTCTAGTTGAAAAATTAAGGATTACAATGAAACTCGTGCATTGTTTAAATCTGCATACTTCATTATAGTGAACTACAGCATTAAATTGACTTTTCTCATTGTTCTCTTCAGCTGCTCAAATTTACTGTAAAATAAAAATGATGAATAAAAGAACTTAAACTAAGATCTAGGTAGGCAATTAAAATGTATCCTAAATTTGAAAATAATTGGTAGGTAATGCTTATCTTTTTCAGCCCTGACCTTTCAAACAACAAACAAAATAATCAATAACACACCTGTGAATCCCTGAAGTACATCTCGTATTGCTGTATCATTTGTCTGCTAATCAGGCTCCCATGATAAACCACAACGTTAATATCAGTCCACGTACGAAATTCTCTCTCCCAGTTTGCAATAGTAGAAAGTGGAGCAATAATCAGGAAAGGTCCTCTTATACCAGTCAGAAGGATTTCATAGAGGAATGTAATTGATTGAATAGTTTTGCCAAGACCCATTTCATCTGCTAAGATGCAGTTTCGTCTGAAATAAACAAATACATTATCCATGCATACATTGGGTTTTTTTTCTATACTTTAAAGATAAATATACAAAAATAATCAAAGATCAAATAAAATAGTTGCATTTATAAAAATGTAAAAGTTGCTTAAGTGCAGGGTAGGCTTAAGATTACAATTTTATTATAAACCTGCAAAGGCACAAAGATTTCTATAGCTCCAAAATAAGGATACCACCCATTAGATGTCTGATTTTTTAAAAAAGAAAAGGGAAGGGCAAGGCCAACTCAATATATTATTTGTTCAGGAATCATTTAATAAATACCTTCTGTATCTCAGGACAGTATGAGAAGATGGGATACAAAAGAAATAAAACATGTTCTCTGCCTTTCAGGGGTGTGTATCTATTACAGAAGCTGACATGCAAATAAATAAATAGTCATGCAATGTGCTATCACTGAAGCACAGATAAAGCACTGGTTTTCAATTGTGGCTGCACATCAGAAGAGCTTACAAAGCTTGAAAAAAAAGATACTCAGGCCCCTCCCCTATACATTCTGATTCAATGAGTATGGAATAGGATAAAATCAGCTATAATTTCAAAAATAAGCTTCACAGATGATTATGATATGTGGCCAATTAAGAATCATCAGTATGGTTTATTATGGAGGCTCAAAAGAGTAAGCCTCAACTCTGGCTAGAAGAGATGAGAGAAGACCTCTTTCAGAAAGGAGGTCAGTAATGAGTAGCATTTTTGCCAGAGAGCACAGTGAATGAGCAGAAGTGTAAAGAACATGATGAACTGAAGGACCAAAAGTTGTTCTATGGTTTGGAGGGGAGGGTAAAAGGAAGAGAGATTATTGAGGTAAGTAGGGTCATAAATAGAAGACATTTGCCATTCTATTATGCAATGGAAATTACTGGAACTCTTCAAACAAATCCAATAAGATTAGGTTTGTATTTTAAAGTTTACTCTGGTGCTATTGTGGATATTAGAGGTTGAGGTGACTAGAAGTTGGGACAGTAACTGAGAAAGTACCATTAAGTGCAGGGAAGAAAGTGTGGGCACCTGGTCTAAGAGAGGAGAAACTAAGAGGAGAGAACTTTCCAGAATTAATTATGGGTTAGAATAAAATGGACCTAGTTACCAAAGTATGGGGTGTAGGGTGAAGCCAGATTTCAGTTTGGGTGACTAAATGAATTGTGTTGTTATTAACCAAGATGGAAAATACAGAGGAAGAACAATTTTGATGGGGAAGAAACAGGAAATAATATTAATTTTTAATCTGTTGTGTTTAAAGAATCATTGAGATAGACACTCAGGTAGCAAGAGGCAAATAAAAATATGGGCCCAGAGTTCAAGACCTTAGATTTAAAAGTATGGGACTCCCCGTGAAGGCACGGGGAGTATAGAATATGGCTTAGGGAGAACAAATGTAATATGAAAAGAGAGCTAAAGACAGAACCCAAGGCAGGCAAACACAATATCTACAGGGCAGGCAGAGGAAGAACCAGCAGACTATTGAAAGGAATAGTCACAGGTACTGCAGAGCTAGGAGAGAGTCACACTGTGGAAACTGTTGGAGTTCAGAGTGAGGGGAATGTTTAAAGAAGGAAGGAGTACCAACTACTAACCAATGAAGCAGAGAGCAAATTAGGGCTGAAAAATATTTCATGGATTTGGAAAGTTAAAAGTTTCAGAGAATGCAGGGGAGTTGGGGTGGGGGCAGTGGTGGTGGTGGTGGTGGGGGGGAATGGGGAGACAGAGAGAAAGAGAAAGAGAGAGAGAGAGAAGCAGAGCCAAGAGAAGGTTTATTTTAAACTCAAATTTGTTCATAGACTGAAGGGATGGCAATAGTCTTCAGGGATGGCCTGGAGATATAAAAGAGAAGGATAAGTGATTGAAGTAAGGCTCTAAGGCTCTAAGAAGACTAGATGAGATGGCATGTCTGATACATGAGGGCAGTGGTAAGAATAACTGTGGATGAAGATATTAACACATCTGTAGGCTTGGATATGAAGGCAAGCAAGAACTTGGATGAGTTTACCTACCATCCCCGGGTTTCTCTATGAAGCAGTCATATACAGAGAGTGAAGGGGGCAGAACTGTGATAAAGGGTTTCAAGAAAGTGGTGAAAAGTTAAAACAGGCAATATAGGAGATGGGAAAGGGTACTGATGAGGGAAGACAAGTTAAAAAAATGTTTTGTCAACTACTTTTCCTAGATGGTTCTCTTGGGAAAAATGATGATTAATATTTGGAAAATATAAATCAGGGAAAAGAGCACTGTGGGGATAACAGGCCTCTTTCCATCGACTGAGTCCATGACTCACCATCACTAAGCATAACAATTCAGAAGACTCACGTGAAAAGTAAAAATGATTAAAAATGATTCTGAATAAAAGTATCATCAAATTTTGCTATTCTTACTAACAGTAGTGCCTTTATTTGCTCTTTTGCATATGTAACTACTATGCTTTCTCAATCGCAGTAACATTTTTTTACTTCTTTTGCAATTATCTTTTCATGTCAAAAAAGAATGTAAGATATTCTATAAGGCATTTTGAAAACCTTGAAAAACAGATAATAAAAATGGGGTAATTAATTACAGGTTCCCATATTTTATATTCCATTCCTTATCTATTGCTGACAACCTACTTCTTTGATAATTTACATTAAATGATAGAGCTTTAATTCCTATAAGTATACCTTGCTCATAACTCACTAACTCGAACTGATTGTTGGCAGACAGTAGTACGGGTTGATAAGCTGAAAAGCATTATATAACACAGAAGGTTTCTTAGGACTCTTGGAAAGGTATTTCAAATTTAAGTATTAATCAACATACCAACTTTCTTCTATTCTGATTGGTATACATTTAAAGAAAACAATTGTAGTTGAAACCTAAGTTGCAATTTACATATGTTCCTGAGGTAACCTCACTTTAAATAATGAAGACTTCAAAACAATAACAATATAGCAACAACAGTATCTATTTTACTTGACACATTTTGGCACACATTAAAAAAATAAATTTTTTTTATTAAGATATACTACATACCTATTGTACCAATTGAACAAGAGCCAGTTGAGTCCTTCCAGTTGATATTCCCTGAGTTGATTGCCATTTTTATAGTCCCTGGATTGATCTATTTTCTTCCAAATATTAGAAGGAGGACGGTCCTTTGTGGAAAAACAAAGAATGAATGGTGTTTAAATCTTCCATATATCATACTGAAGGCAAAAAGCATTGGTTTAAAAATAACCCTAAGAGGCATAACAGTGTACAGTGTTATGATTAACTTTTACCTAACATTTAAAGGTCAAATTAATTCTATACAACTCTTCCAGAAAACTGAAGAGGAAGGTATATTTCCTGACTCATTCTATGAAGCCCTGATACCAAAATCAGACAAAGACATCACCAGAAAACTACAGACCAATGTCCCTCACGAACAAAGATGCAAATATTCATAATGCAATTTTACCAAATGGAACTTAACAATATATAAGGGCAATAAGATCATGACCAAGTAGGTTTTGTTTTTTTTTTTAACCAGGAATGGAAGGTGGGTTTAAAGTAGAGAATTAATCAGTGCTGATCAACAGATTAAAAAATAAAAATCAGCTGAGTGTGGTGGCTCATGCCTAAAATCCCAGCACTTTTGGAGGCCAAGTGGGGAGGATCGCTTGAGATTAGGAGTTCAAGACCAGCCTGGGCAACACAGGGAGACACAATCTCTATTTAAAAAAACATAAAACATAAAAAAACCAAAAATAACATGGTACTCTCAGTAGATGCAGAAAAAGTATTTGAGAAATTTAACATCCACTCCTAATTAAAACTCATCAAATTTTGAATAGAAGGGAACTTCCTTAAACTGTTATAGTACAACTATGAAAAAGCCAAAACTAGCATAACATTTAAAGGTGAAAGACTGACTGCTTTCCCCCTAAGATCAGGAATAAGGCAAGGATGTCCTCTGTGACAACTTCTATTCAACATTGTACTGCAGGCACTAACAAGTATAATCAAACAAGAAAAAGAAAAAGAATAACAAACTGTCTTTATTTATATTATAGAAGACATGATTTGTCTATGTAGAAAATCCTGTGGAATCTGCCATGAAAGCTAAACTAAGCAGTAATTTTAGCGAGGTTGCATAATACAAGATCAATGTGCAAACATTGTGGCAACAATCATGAATATATTTTTAAAAAACAATAACCATTTTATAATAGCATCCAAAATAACTTTTGATATTCATGGTACAAAACATTTCTTTCAAAAGAAATCTAGAAGCATAGAAGTGAAACATTATATGTAAAAGAATTTTATTCACTTATATATAGATATATAAGACATAAATTTTCTGAAGATTCCTGAATGAGAATTCAAATAACATTATCCTGGCCCCAAATGAGTAGGGTCTCAGTAGGAGAAATAAGTTTCTGAGAAACAAGCAAAAGGTCTCCCATTGTCTTCTGCTTTAAAATTATACTGTTACTAATCAACAAAATTACACTTCTAAGAATTATCAGGATAATCAGGTGTGATATTGTGAAATATGTATTTGATCTTCATTCCCATTTCCTGGCATACAACTCCTGATATCCTTGGGTTCCCCAAAGTGCTGCTTGTTTGTGTGCCAATATTCCTGACTGATAGATTCAGGTGGGGCTGGTCACCAGAAGGACAAAGGCATGATTAGAGGGGAGAAGGGGAATGGGCAGAAAGGAAGGAGGGGAGGAGGGGAGGAAGGAAGGAAGGGGAGAAGGTCAAGTTGATCACCAATGGCCATTAGATGATTGAATCAATCATGCCTACATAGTGAAGACTCCATAAAAACCCAAGAGGACAGGGTTTAGTGAACTTCCAGGAGCTGAACACTTCCAGGGAGCTGAACATGTGGAGACTGACAGAAAGGTGAACAAGAACTCATCCACATGCCAGGAGAATGGCAAACCCCAACTCTACAGGGACAGAAGCTCCTGCACTCAGACCTCGCCCTATGTCTCTCTTCCTCTGGCTGTTTGTTTGTATCCTTTAAAATATCCTTAGGAATAAACCGGTAAAACTTGAATGTCTTCCTGAGTGCTGTGAGCTGCTCTAGCAAATTAATCAAACCCAAAGTGGTGGGTAATGGGAACCCTAACTTGAAGCCAGTCAGTCAGAAGTTCTGAAGGCCCCTGGACTTGTGACTGGTGGAAAGGAGGGGGCAGTCTTGTGGGACTGAACCCTCAAGATGTGGGATCTGATGCTATATCTGGGTAGATGGTGAATTAGAGCTGGGTAGAACTGAATTAGAGGACAGCCAGCTGGCATCCACTGCAGAACTGACTGCTTGCTGGTCGGAAGAATTCCCCACATATTTTGGGGTTACAGAAGTCTTTTGTGTTGATTGTTGTGTTACCCTGAGAGCAGAGGAAAAACACAGTTCAAGAAAGCTTTTCTTAAACATCAGGTAAGTGTATAGTAATTGTACATGGAAAACAAAACAGGCTATCAGTATACTGAGAACAGGACTGGTTATTGAAGCTCTGCTGCTACTTAATACAGGTGTTTGCTAAAGAAAACATTTTTTAAGTGATAGCCAATGAACATTAAAATAATTAACATATATTTTAACTGCTGCTTAAAATAATTTCTGCATTAGATCATATTCTGTATAGCTTCTTTTCAGCAATCCAATCACTATTAATGATTCATTAGTTCGGGTCAGGGAAAAATTTCATTTACAGAATCTCAAAATACTTTACGTGACTTATATGCTATTTTATTTAACAGCAGTATACTGGCAAAAAGAAAGGAAAACAAAACAAAACAAAAAAACACCTCCTACATTATTTAACCATGACAGACTAGCCCTGTTGTCATCAATTTTACATTAATTAAGGGGATTAATTCTATTGGCTGAGCCCCCTTTACCAAGGCCTATAACATATATCTAAGGCATCTCTAATTTTTGAAAAGCTCCAGAAGAGATTCTGATATGCACCTTTGACTGAGAATCACTTATCTAAAGACATAGCTTATTCAGTGAGGCTTAATATTACCACTAAGGCATAGACCCCACCCCAAAAGAAAATCTTTCTCTTCTACTACATTCCTTGACTCATTCCTCTCTGAATTAGGTGACGCTTCTGTTTCCTGGTTCAAGGAATAGCATTTAGAAGGTAAAAGGAATGGGGGTAAACTGATATGCTTTTGTTAACAGCCTACGGACATTACTGGAAAATAAAGTAAGAAGACCAGAAAATAATACTAGGAAGATCAGAAAATAGTTATTATAAAACAATATGATCTCTTCTATGGAATATTTAATTCATTTCCTTCTCTTACTTCACATCTCCATGTTTATCAGGGCAGCTTTCCTCACTCTCGTGCTAATCAAAAAGGAATCTGCTCCTGTCTTTTCACATATAAACTCCCTCTTAAGCTTTGGCTCCCAAAACTAGACTCACATAGTAACAAGCCTGTTTAAAAGAAATGAAAGTAAAACATTATATAATTATTAGCAATATCATAACTTACATAAACAAGTGCTAAGATTTTATAAAGCTGTCTAAAACAGGTTCTTACCAAACGTCTTGTGTCAGGCCTTGAAGCTTGCAGTTGTTCAAACTCTTCTATTTTTGCAAGATCTACATCTTCTTTTAGTTCCCAAGTACTATCTTCATATGGCAATGAGCACCATTTTACTAAGTAGTAAATAACAGGCTGTAAAAAAATTTTTTCATTTACCATTTTGAAAAAGACACTAGTAAGAAATAGTTTAAACAGAGAATAAAGTACTAGGTCTTAATACTTGGAAAGTTTCAGATTTTTCTTACTTAAAAAATCTTTTTACCATATATTTACCTCACCAGTATCCTTATCTTCACAAAAAGAGACTTCTAATACTCTGTCTACTTCAACGTAGTCTGGGTTAAATGGTTCTTCTTCCATCTAAAATTAAAAGGTAACTTAATTGACATCTGACAAAGAACTGGAATGATAAAAGTAAGGACGAATTTACTAGCATTTCACTATAGACCTTGTAAGTTTGATTTCAGTTAAATGTCCAATAAATGGAATTCTTCCATTTTCATTTCCAAATGATAGCTAGGATAACATGAAAAATGTTATAAATAATAAAACCAAATAGTACTAAAATATAAGGTACTCTAGAAGATACGTGCTTTAAAAAATGCCTGAAAGCAGCCTCTATACCTTTCCTTTACGCTTTTCCTCAGGTTGCAAGAGTTGAAGACCATGCATCATCCCATTGAATGCTCATTTCTGTTGTCTCACACACCCTTTATCTTTACCTGATGGTTCTTGTGCTCAAGACCCACTTATTGAGCTGACTGCAAACTTTACTGAGGTACCTCAAACTCATTTGCACTCATTTACTCTTCAACCCATACCTCCTCCTGCATTTTCTAATGGTTAATGGTAACAGAGCTTCCTCTCCATAGCCCACGCTCAGTGACACAAGCCAGAAATGAAGAAGTCATTTTAGATTCCTTCTTTTTCTTTACCCTCTACATCGAGTAAGTCACCAATTCGTACAGACTCTATTTTAACTCTGAGATTGGTTCCTCCTTCTTCATCCTCACTTCTTACTTGAATCTTTAAAATAACCCCAACTACTGTCTCACCTCCCCTTTAATGTTTTTCACATTGTCCCCAGAGTAATCTTTCTCAAATATAAATCTTATATATCGCTCCTTTACTTAAAATTCTTCACCGACTCTCCCCTAATTAGTCTTAATGAAAATTTAATGATTATTACTTAATTCTAAAATCTTCAGCTTATTAGGAACTTCTAGATCATAGTGAAGAGATGACAGATATTTAAGGTGATGAGAGGACCTCCCAGCATCCACAAACTAACAGGTCATTAGAATCATCTTTTTTTAAAAAAAATAGAGATGGAGGTCTCATATGTTGGCCAGGCTGGTCTCAAACTCCTAGCCTCAAGTGATCCTCCCACCTTGACCTCCCAAAGTGTTGGGATTTCCGGCATGAGCCACCATACCCAGCCCACATTTTTGAGGTGAAATTAATAATTACAAATGGAATAATAGTAATTATGTAGTGAAGACATCTGGCAGATACCACCTTAATCTAGTGATTAACCACCAGTACTGGGGTACAGAGGTATCATGTACCATCTTATATCATTCACTGGAAGAATAGAGCATCACTTCTATGGTGTTCTTTTAAAAAATGCCTAACCTGGATCATGACGAAACTTCATACAACCCCAAACTGAGGGGCATTCTACAAAATGAGCTGTACCCTTTAAAATGTCCAAGAAATGAAAAACAAAGAGAGACTGACTAAGAGATATTACAACTAAATGTAACATGTGCTGCTGGATTAGACTCTGGACCAGATAAAAATAAACACACACACACACATACACATGCACACATACACACTCTCTTTTTGTTATAAAAACACTAGTGGAACAATTAGTGAAATATGTGTAAGGTCTGTGGATAATAGTACTACATTGATGTCCTACTATTTTGATGAAAGAGAATATAGTTGTTTTTAGGAAATATATACTAAAGTGTTTGCAATGTTAAAATGGTTTAGAAAAATACGTGTGTGTATGACAGAGAGAGGGACAGAATGAATACAAATGATAAAGCAAACATGGTAAAATGTTAACATTTCGGAAATCTAGTTAAAATAAATGTGAGAATTCATTGTACTATTTTTGTGACTATTTTGTTTAAAAGAAAAAGTTTTTAAAATTTTCAAATTAAGAATTTAAAACTGCTCCAAAAGGAGTCTATTAGAAAAATCTGGAGCAGGAAAGAACATCAGACCATTTAGTCAGGCCTAGAGAGGTAAATTTTTCCAGAGGTTCTGTTCACATACATGAAGCTAGTATAGAAAATATGCAATATATTTCATGTACTGAAAAATCTTATTTTCCATTTACTTGCTAGATTATCACTTCCTCCACTTGAATAACTTTGCTGATATATTATTGGTAATATTACCATACTCACATTCAACTCTAAATGTTGAAATATATGCTAGTTTAAAAATACAAGCATGATCTACCATTCTGAATTATCAGTGTTCCTGTTTCAAATGGTTTCCAAGCTAATTTTGAGAAGAGAAAAATACTATATTTAGGTAGCATTTGTATTCAAATATCAACACTGGAAGTCTAAGAATTAAAATAATGTGTAATTTTTGATAAATAATGCTACATGTATTCAGAGACCAACACATAATAGTCTTATTTATTTTTTTCTTACGTCTGCAAAAAAATGTGCTCTTTGTGCTTGTCTCAATTTGAATCGTTTGATTTTCTGCTGGATCCTTTTATCTTTCAAAAGCTGCTCTTCTGTGGCCCACTCACAGTGAAGATAGGAGCTAAAATTTTTATAAAAATAATATATTAGAATGACACAGATAACCATTTTAAGATGTATTTTAAATCATAACATCCAATATAAACTATTGTCTTCAACTTTTCAAATAGGTAGTTCATCATTTAACTTTAATAGAATTACGATCATTTCTAAAATAAAGTAATTGTGATCACTATATGCTAAGGAGGTCGTAGTCTAAAGGTATACAATTTGCCATATAGAAACAGAACAGTAAAATGATCAAAAGTCTAATTGCAAGATACGATTTATCTATTATTATTTCCCTATAACAGTTTTGTCATTATCAGAAAGCTAACTTGTTTTGAAACTAATGTGATTTAAAACGCTTTCGAGCTTGCAGTGAGCCGAGATTGCGCCACTGCAGTCCGCAGTCCGGCCTGGGCGACAGAGCGAGACTCCGTCTCAAAAAAAAAAAAAAAAAAAAACACTTTCATGGAGGTACAAAGATAAGTTGGAAAATATGTAAAAAGAAGAGTAAGTGATTTTTCCCCAGTTAGCAACTCATGAGTTACCTGACCTTTATCCAAAATTAAAATTAAAAACTTTAAGGTCAAATCATCTCATTGTGTGCGTCTGACATAAAAACCTAAAGATCAGGAAAAAAAAAACTTTTTTTTTTAAAGAGATGGAGTCTCACTATATTGCCCAGGCTGGCTTCAGACTCCTAGGCTTAAGAGATCTGTATCAACCTCCAGAATAGCTGGGACTGTAAGTAGATTAGAAATGTATTTTATAAGGACAATAAAATCTGAAAAGTTCAACAATACAATGAATGCTGTCTATAAATTATAAAAGCATATTTTATAAAGATTCCTGCATTTTGATGTTAATAATGAACATTTTCTGGAAAATAAAAAAAATTTAATTTTTTTTTTTTTGAGACGGAGTCTCGCTCTGTCGCCAGGCTGGAGTATGGTGGCACGATCTCGGCTCACAGCAACCTCCACCTCCTGGCTTCAAGTGATTCTCCTGCCTCAGCCTCCTGAGTAGCTGGGACTACAGGTGCGTGCCACCACACCAAGCTAATTTTTTTGTATTTTTAGTAGAGATGAGGTTTCACCATGTTGGCCAGGATGGTCTCGATCTCTTCACCTCGTGATATGACCGCCTTGGCCTCCCAAAGTGCTGGGAATACAGATGTGAGCCACCACACCTGGCCAAATCATTCAATTTTAACATGAAAGGTTTTCAAATGGGCCCTTTTCCACTTTTTAATGATTCTTGAGTTATGCAGGTATAAATAATAAAAATTATCATAAAAATGTGGATAAAATGAAAATCATAATTTTAATTTATTAAATATATTAATTTATATGTAAATCAACATCTTTCTTTTATTTTTCTAACTCAAATACTTACTAATTCTTGTATTTTACAAAAAATTCTTCTGTATCAATCATCACTCCAGGTGATATCTAAGAAAAGAAAATCAGTAATGGTGACTCTTTTAAACAGGCCACAGAATATGAAGTGTAAAATGTAATGTACCAGTACTTACTTCCTTTTTTACGGTTCTAGAAGATAGAATTTTGTCTACAATTGCAGCATCTTCTTCACTCGGATTCTCCTATGGGAGGGAGGAAAGAAATAATGACAGAACACATTCTGAAAGATCTTTTAGTTGCCACTTTGTATGTTGATGAACATACTACAATTCAACAAATATTTATACAGCATATATGCTAGACACTATGTTACGTGTTAGAAATACAAAAATGAAAAAAATATATCATTGTCATTGTCCTTTTCATCACCTGCATTATCTCTGTAGCAAACATATTGTGCTTTTTAATGTGCTGGTCATTATTCTAAGCATTTTACATATATTAATTTAATCTATTATCTTCATTATTATCATTTCCATTTTACAGATTAGGAAATTTAGGCATAGTTAAATAAGTACTTGCCCAAGGTACTCAGCTAGTGGCTGAGTGGTTGGGTCATAATGCATATAAGGGGGACTTAAAAAATCATAGACGAGGGAAGCACATATGGCATTCAGGCAAACGTGTTCATAAAACAGAGGACTAAGTGCTTATGGAGAAGTAGCAGAAGATGACGCCAGAAAATCCAGACAAAGGGGTTTATACACTGCTAAAAAGGTATCGTTATTTTTGTAAGGTTTAGGAAACTATTAGAGGAGTTTTCAGTAGAAAAATAATATGATTAAACTTGTAATTTAGAAATATTCTGCAGAAAAGATAGTTTGAAGAATTTCAAGAACATATATTTAGGAGGTAGAAAGTGTAGTGACAACCTGAATGAAGAGGCAAAGGAAAATGAAGAGAGAATGAATCCCTAGGTTTCTAATTTGAATGACTCAATTAACTAATAATATGGAATCCGGAAGGATAAGTTAGAGCAATTTTTAGTAGGAAAAACAATGCAAGTATTTATAGAATTTATGTCGGTTTAAAATGTTTTGCAGTCATAATCCCAAATATGCTTACCACAAACAATTGTAAAGGCTGTTCACCAGGTAAAGGAGCTGAATTCTTTTTTATTTTCATAGAACCTTTAACCTCTTCTTCAGATTGCTTCCCTTCTATATCTTCTGCGTATTTTTTTCTTTTAATTTGTCGATTTGATCTTCTTTTCTGTAATGAACCACAAGAATCAGATTTATATAATTTATTTTGAAGAAAAGTTTTTGAAAATAATTACCCCTAGAGTTGGCAATTTTGTATATTAAATTTTCAACATGACACTCAATGTACTATCTTTTCCTATTTTGTTTTTAATTAGAGGAAGATTATAATTTGCCATTTGCCACAGGCTTACAATCTTCCTACAGTTCTACTTCCTACAATTTCAAACAACAAATATTAGTAATACTTTTATTATGTTAATTTGGAAATCATTAAGAATAAAGAGATGTCTGTTTTTTAAAAAAATTATTTCACAGGTTGGGCAAAATATATTTTATTAGGAATACCTTTATTACTACATTACTTTTCTTTAGAAACTATTGTTAAGAATAAAAAGGTATCTGTTTTATTTAACTATGTCATAACTTGGGCAATAAATATTTAAACTATTAATAATTTCACAGTTTTAGTCCAAAACCTAAAAAGTGTATCAGATGAATATTGGGTATAGAATTAATTGGGGGTATAAATCTAGAAGAATAAATTAAATAGTGTTTGCCAAAACACATGAAACTGTGTTTAAAGCAGAATAACATAATATAAAATATTTAAAAAGAAATGCACAAAATAAGAAAGCATTAAATCTACCAAATAATTTTGAATGAAAGAAGAAACTGTTTCACTAACTTTAGTAGCTTTCCTTAAATATAAAAGACATCACTATCATCACACAAAACTAAGCCTTTTACAAAGTATTACATGTAGTAAGATAATTTTTAAATAATCTAAGTAATTTTAAATCTGGAATCAAATATACATGGCTTTACTTACCTCCCTAAATATCTAATATTTGTTTCAAAAGTTTTATATTTCAAGGAGAACTTAAAAAACAAAAACAAAGTTACATCTCTTTTGGTGTTTACAATAAAGATAAAAATTTCAAAATCCCAAAGGGCTTAGGTTTATTTTTTAAATTTCCCTTGTAATCTCATGGGGTAGAGACATTTCATGCGGGTAGTGGCATCTCAACCAACTGTTCAATTGCTCAATATTTGGCAAATCTCTTCTTTTTTCTAGTCCAATTTCTTCTATATATTTAGTAACTTCATGACACTTCCAAAAAATGGAACCAGCAAAATAAACCACAAGTTCTTCTGGTTTCTGCCTGTCTTCTATTTGGCAAGTCTTTAATTTACCTTCACAGCCATGACAAAAATGGCTGAGTCACTGCTACAGTGTGGTGACAAACTATATGCATGCAGTCATGCCTCTGCCCCTTTCTCTTGTGAGTAGTAAAATACTGAGAGAAAGAAAGGCACTCATATGGTCAGCCAAATGTACTAGATAACACCATGCCTCATGTAGGATGGGTCGAATGTCTCTTGGCCATGAAGACATTGACATTTCAAACCTCAAAATAACACAGCCTGGTGACATATAAAAATTCTAATTAAAGGGCTACTAGAAACCCAATTTTCCTTCATCCTATTTTGAAAACGATATGAATTACTATTATTCTCTAGGAGGGGGGAATTCTATGGATTTCTAACACTAGGCTAAAAGAATATTTAGAATTCTATTATGGGCACCATATAGATCTTAATGTTCAAGAATAGTTTTAATTAATAAACAACTGTGATATATTATCAATGTCTCATTAGGCATGACTTTTAAGTAATGAAATTTGAGAATAGTTCAGTACATTTTTAGAAAATTCTGTTAGAAGTTTTCAGCATTAGTTTCCTTTCTGGCCACTTAAGACATCTATTAGTACTTAGAGATAACTCACTGAGTTTTTAGTAAATAGTAAATGAGTGACCTCAAAGAATCTTTTAAGCTCACAAAAGTGCACTCAGATAGAATGAAGGCTACTTATTGTAAACTGTTCCCTCATCCTACAAAGACTTTGCCTAACAGATTAATTTAAAAGTCTATGAATTATGAGATTATAGAAGATTTTACCATAAATTACACTCCACTAGAGGACATAGTTACACATTACTTAGGTAAAGCCAAATAAGGTATCATTCTCACCAATTATCTTTCTTCACCATAGAACGTCGCTACTAGTTTAAAAACATAAAAATGAATCTTATGTCCACATTTTTGGCATGTGCTTTTTCTGGCTTTCTTTTTCCATAATGTTTTTTAAAGCACAACTTAAAATCCTGATAAATTGTCCCTTTTAATTTCTTATTTTTAGCTTCTTAAGTCTTAAAGGCTTCAACAGATCAGCCCACAGCACTTTACATAGGAGGTTAGAAGCACGTTTTAAGTGACTAATATAGTACTTCACTATTTTAACATTGCACTTCTTTCCTATAATATTCCTAATAGTATACTCTGTTGCAGGGGCATATTTCTTTTTAATTTAGGTCTCTAAATATAGTTGGACTACTGTAATATTCTCTATTAAGATTAAAGGTAACAAAATTAAATACCAAATCACATTTTTAGATTTCCAGCTGATTCCAAACCTTAATTAGTTTCCAACGTGGTTAAAAGCTACATGGATCTTTCCATCATTTATTTAATGACACAATCAAATATATCAATAATGTAGATTTATAACTATTAGAAAATATTTTTACCTTCACCATTTTTTGTGTGTGTGTTAAAGCAACACACCTGTCAAAACAACCTAATACTACAGTGAAAAACATGGAAGAAATGTTCATGTTGACCTAGCCTACCATGTCATTGTTTGAAAATTACATAATGGAAAAATGGCCAGCATTATTCCAGCAAAAATTAAACTAAATTTAATCATATGGAATAAGTTAAATATAAGTTTGCCTAAGTTAAGGATAACATATGATGAAAAAGCCAGGCCATGTAATATTAGGAGCTTCAGTCACTGCCCTTACCTCAACTCTTGCAGCAGCCCAGGAGCCTTGAGCCACTACTCTCCCATTGGATAAGAAGCTGCATAAGGAAGAAGAAAGGCCATTCAGGGGCTTTCTGGCCCCATAATTCACAACTGCCACCACCCCTACGGCCTACAGTCATACTTTAGTTATTAGAGAGCAGAGGGTGGCCTGGATTATTATGACCTTCACTATATATAATTTTAACTTCAGAGGGTTATTTTGAATATCCACCTATTCAAAAAAAAAAAAAAAAGGCAAAATGCATAGTATTTCTTCTGTCTATGTTACGGGATTTTTAATATAGTCAGTTATCTTTTCTTCACAAAAACAGACCAAAGGAATTATTTCTAGGAATGATTCAATCCATTTGCTCTGTCATTTGTATGTGATTTAAAAAATTACTATGTCCATCACGTTCATTCAAAAGAACTCTATAAGCACAGGATAGTATCACTAAATACTCCTCCATGCTAAAAGCCATCAAGGACTTTGTATTGTTAACCTCTCTGGGCTTCAGTTTCATTATCTGAAAAATGAGGGGTCTGGAGAGGATATGTTAGTTTCCTCCCACATCTAATATTCTATGGTAATATTACCAGGACATATTGTAATAATGCTACCTTCAACTTCTACCATACTACAAAATGTATTTTTACTTCTAACTAAAGTGTAAATATCTATAAGGCAATATTATGCTAACTAAATCATTCTAACAGTGTTTCATTTCTAGAAAAAATTGTAATACTCACTTGAGAGTCTTGATCTTTTAATGTATGCTGTGGCATCTGTTCTGCATCAGATATTTCATCTGAAGACTCATTCTTTCTTTTTTGTTTCTTACCCAATGTAATAATGAGTTTGCTGTTTCAAGAGGAAAAGAATAAAAAGTATGAATTCTTTGAATTTTCCTAAATTTGATTAAATTAAGATTGTCATGATAAACTTTCTTCCACTTTATATCACTTGCATGTCCAACCAAGGATGATAATCATCCTGAAATCCACGTTGACATTTTCAAAACATAAACTCTATTCTAATGGAACAAACACCATCCAATTCTATGTTTGGAAGTATAATTAATGTACTCAGAAGTACAATTAATGTACTTCTAAACACAGAAAGGCAGTCAAGTAGGCCAGGCGCAGTGGCTCATGCCTGTAATCCCAGTGCTTTGGGAGGCTGAGGCAGGTGGAAAAAGGTTAGGAGTTCGAGACCAGCCTGGCTAACATGGTGAAACCCATCTCTACTAAAAATACAAAAATTAGTCAGGCGTGGTGGCAGGCATCTGTAATCCCAGCTACTTGGGAGGCTGAGGCAGGAGAATCGCTTGAGCCCGGGAGGCGGAGGTTGCAGTGAGCCAAGACCGCACCATTGCACTCCAGCCTGGCAACAAGAGCGAAACTCCATCTCAATGAATAAATAAGCAAACAAGCAAGCAAACAAACAAATAAATAAATAAATTTAGCAGGTAAAAAAAAAAAGGCAATCAAGTCTTATTTGTTTTTTAGGCTTAAGATTACTTTTCATAGGAAAAATGTGAGGTGATACAACTGTGTTTACTTTATTATCTTGCAGATTTCCAATGACAGATTTTTTTCTCTTATTAAATTCATATTCCACTTGATTCCTTGAATCCCCCTATTCGTTAAAAGCCTCTACTTCCTTCTGCTCTACAGTAGAAAGACAATTACTTAAGGCACTTTAACAATTTGTTGTTCTTTAATTCTTTCACTTATGTTAAGGCTTATCTTATCTGTACTGTATGTTCCTAAGCATAAGAACTATTATTTTTTATATTCCTAAAGCATGTATGTGTCAGTATATCGTCATATATGTATGTTTATATATATATTGATATTTACATATATACACACCAGATGGAGCTATCTAAAATGAAAGTGGGTTTTTTTGTCTTGATGAGAGGTATAAAAACATAACTCTCACATTTCCTTATCTGCTTCAACAGATGCAGGGGCATGATTTTAAACCACGGTAATTATTAATCAGCAACGTACTATTTTAAATATCTGTATTATAAAAATGGAAAATCTCCCCAATACTTTCAGGTATGATTTATCAGAAAGATATCAGAATTCTTTCAACAACTATTTATTAATGTAGGAGAATTTGGAGGTTAAGAGCATGCACTTTGAAAACACAGGGTCAAAGATTTAAACCCTGACTCCACCATGTACCTATCTGTGAGACATTGGGCAAATTACTTGATCTCTTTTGGCCTTAGTTTCCTTGCCTGGAAAATAGGGATATCATAATAACTACATCTGCTGTTGCTGAGAATTAAGTGGGATAATGTATATTGGCTCTTAGCACAGTCTTGATGCATAGTGATTTCTCAACTAATGCTAACAACTTCTAATTATTCTATGCCAAGCACTTTCCTAGGCTCTAGGATTTGAAAATATAGTGACACAGTTCCTAACCTTAAAGTATCATAGTTAGACTATGATCACAGCTAAAATGCCAAAGTGGGGGTTAGCACAGGATGCAATGTGAACACAAAGGAAGAAGTGCTCACGCTTACTGAAGAGTAAAGGGGGCTTTACAGAAAAGACAACATTTGATATGATGAAAAGAAGTTTAACAGGTAGTGAAAGAAGCGGCAGAGTACATTCCAGGTAGGGGGATACCACAGAAGAGTGAGGAGAACATGCAGTGGTAATAGCATGACAGGAATACACAGAGTACCCCAGAAGGAGGCAGCAGACAGCTGGACAACCAGAATGGGTGAAGATCACAGAAGGCCTTGTATGACACACAAAGAGTTCACATTTTAAGGGCAGCTTTTAAGCTCTTGAGAGCAAGAATTTAAAAGGAATCTGTCTTGTTCATCACTGGCAGCAAATGTTTAATGAATAGGCAGTGAGTTATTTTGAATAAATAAAAAAAATAAAGCAGTTGGAAGATATAAGAATTGTAAGCAAGGGGGCAATGTGATGACAAGGAAGTGAAATGCAAGGAAGGGAAACCGATGATAAGGCAAATGACAATTCAGGGGAGAGAAAAAGATGGTAATCTAGGGCTGTGGGAATGTGGATGAAGAGGTAAAGAAAGATATAATTTTTTATTGTGGAAGTAGAACCAACAGGACTTGGTTATTGACTGGATGACTAGACTTCAGGTGAGAAAAAGTTATAGAATGCTTTTTCCCTATATTATTCTTGTATTGGTATGATTACCACATTCAACAGAATAATGGTAATTCTTACTTGGTGTCTCACCCGCCACTGTTCTGAATATGTGAAGAAAGTAAATAACAGTAAGAAATACAGCTTATGTTGGAAGCAGGAAATCAGAAGAAACACAAAGATATTCTGAAGCAACATTAAGGAACCAACCATAGTTACACTTCATTCCCTCTCACCACTTTCACTGCTTATTTCCTCTCTGTTCTAGTCCCTTTTCCTCCTCTAGTTTCTTTCCTAAAATAAAAATCTCCCTTGAGGCTATATTTACTGTTAGACCCCATATGACCTTGTTCTTCCTCCTTTGTATCCAAAGTTCTCAAGAGTCATTTCCGTTTCATTCCTCAACCAACTATAATCTCAACTCTCAAAACTACTTTTAATATTCATAGCTTCCATTTATTCAATGTTTACTATGAGTCAGCCTCTGTGCTGACTTTACATGCATTCTCTCACTTGATGTTCATACAATTTTAAAAGGGAAGTACTATTATTTTATAAGAAGAAATTGAGGCCTAGAGAAGTTAAATAACTTGCTCAAAGTCACAGAAATAGTAAGAACAGAGACAGAAACTAAGTATGCCTCACTCCAAAGCCTAAACTTCTAATGCTTAAGGACTCAAAAGACTTTTAAAATGGCAAATCCAACAGAGCTTTAAAAAATCATAATGTGTAACTAAGTCCTAACGTGTAACTGTTTCCTTTTGGCCCCTTTCTTGGCTCCCTGACACAAGAGTCTTCTGGTTCTCACTAAACTTGCTTTTACTAAATTTTGGCTCTTCTTCCTGCATCTACGCCTTGAATGTTAGTTTTCCGTAGGATTCAGTCATTGACAATTCTTCTCTGCTAGCCTGTTAAACTTTGGTTTCTCTCAAAGTTCTGTCTTCAGCCGCCTTCCTGTCTCTCCCTGAGAGATTTAATTTAATCTTTTCTTAACTACTACCTAGAAGTTAAAGATCCTCAAATCTCTTATCTCTATTTCAGATTTTTTCCCCACGCTTCATGTTCATATAACTAATTGCTTATTACACATATACATATGGGTATCTCATAGGTATCACAACCTCAATATGCACCCAATCCAATCTCTCATTTTCCGTAACCCTATCAGTGCAAGTTTACTAATATTAAAGTGTAATGCAAAGTCAGAAAAGTGCAAACGTAAGAGTACTGCTCAATTTTCTCAAACAGAAAATATCTGTGTAGCCAGCTTCCAGATCAAGAAACAAGGCATTAGTTTCCCAGAAGTCCCCTCTCATGCCTCTCCCAGTACGAACCGCCTCCTAAGGGTATCCGTTACTTTGCTTGTGAATATTTGCTACATCCTAAGGCACTGGTGCAGATGATTTTTAATGGCAAAGTAAGGGACAATACTAAATAAAACTGGGTAGTAAAAATACATATTTGATACTTCCTCCTACTTGCTATCAATCTCCAACTTAAATGTGTATTTTCAAATAGTTTGTAGATGAGAACAACACACGGAGAGTGTAGTTGTTTAAATAACAATCTCCCATGAAATGGAAATCATGGCCTATTAATACCCTTCATATATTGCTTAAAAAGGTATTTTTTCAATGTTTGATAAGCTAAATGAATTACGTGAATGCACATTCTGATGCAATATCTTATTCATTCAAATCCCAATGAATAAAAACTTCAATGAAATGAGAGGCGGAGATATTTAAATTTTTTTAAAATTTACAAATGACTATGAACTGGTTCCGCTATTCCTTTACAATAGCATAAGGGTTAATGATTAAATGAAGATTCTCTAAGGACAAAGGACTAAGCTGCTTAAACATTTTTATAGATAAATATTACCTAAATCTCTAGAAAATACTAATAAATAAATACTAACTACCAAATAAATCTTAAACACTTGCCCTTTTGAGTGGTGGGGTTAGGTTAGATAAAAATGTTTCCCATCACACCTCAGATAAGCCTTTTGTTATACTAATTATTTGAAAATTTTACTTAAAAACAAAAAAACAACTTTCACTTTATTTTCCACATATTCTGTATTATTCTTCCAACATTGTTCTACATGTCTGGAATAGCATCTTATTTCATGAACTCATTAGTCATTTTTAACAACCCATGCAAAAATCGTTTTCAGATTCTAACTTTGTAAGAGATATTTCAGATATATAGTATTTCCCTACTAAACCTTCTAAATCCAAAATGTTACACGTGCCTTTTCTATTTAAAAAGGGTACGTTTCCATGATAGGAAAAAAGTCAATTCTGAAATCATTTTTGACTGATACAATTCTGGGTTAATTTGGGTGGCATTTTAAAATTAGATTTTAAAAAACCCCAGTAATTCTGAATTAAAAAAAAAAAGAAAGAAAGAAAGAAAGAAAGAAAGAAAGAAAGAAAGAAAGAAAAGAGTATAAGCCAGGCGCAGTGGTATGCACCCGTAGTTCTAGCTACTTGGTAGACTGAAGTGGGAGAAGACTTGAGCCTAGGAGTTCGAGGCCAGCCTGGGAAACAAAGTAAAACCCTATTTCTAAAATATTATAATTTTTTTTTAAATAAAATGATCTATCTATCTAGAGAGAGAGATTTTAGAAATAGGGTTATTTACAATGAACCTTGAAAACTGTAAACCTTACCAATTTATTATAGATTCTAAAATGGTATCTAGGTAATATTACAGAGGCACAATTAATTAGGTTGGTGTCAGATCAGCAGTGCCTAAGTGTTTGGGGAAAGCTTCATGAAAGCTATTTAAAATACAGATTCTAGACAGGTGTGGTGGCTCACGCCTGTGATCCCAGCACTTTTGGAAGCCGAGGAGAAAGGATCACCTGAGGTCAGGAGTTCAAGATCAGCCTGGCCAACATGGCGAAACCCCATCTCTATTAAAAATACAAAAATCAGCTAGGCGTGATGGCACATGTCTGTGATCCCAGCTACTTGGGAGGCTGAGGCAGGAGAATCGTTTGAACCTGGGAGGCAGAGGTTGCTGTAAGCCAAGATCTGCACCACTGTACTCCAGCCTGGGCGACAAAGCAAGACTCTGTCTCAAAAATAAAATAAAATACAGATTCTTTATGAGAAAATGCCCAACAAACTCAAATTGATGTACATTCTACAGAATAACTGGCCAGTATGTTACAAAAATGAAAACATCATAAAAGAAAAAAGTCTGAGGAGCTATCCTAAATTGAAGGAGACTAAGGAGATATGACAACAAAATGAAATGTAGGATCCTGAATTGGATCCTGGCCAACAAAAAAAGGGGAACCGACAAAACTTGCATGAGGTCTGCAGATTGGTTAACAGGATTATTAAAATGTTTATTTCCTGGTTTTGATAATCATGCTATGGTTCATAAGATGTTAACATTTGAGGAAGGTGAGTGAAGAGCTTAAGGGAACTCTGACCTATTTTTGTACTTCTGACATTACTTCAAAATAAAAGTAAGAAAAAAATAACCCATCCAGTTTTGTGGGTCCCAAACCCAGGATTCTGATCTAAAAACGACTCTAATATGACTTTTAAAATATTCCCTAAGAGTTCTGGTGCTCTACCAGGTTTGGGAACCACTGGCTCGGAGAGTAAAAATTAGTATAGAAAACTCTAGAAACAAATATTCAGAATAATACAACTATTTTATATTTATAGAACACTTAAAATTTTAAAGTGCTTTTGCCTACAGTACCTCAGTTGATTCTGAGAAAAACTCTGAGACAGGCAAGGCAGGTAGGTATTGGTCCCACCATACAGACAGGCAGTGTTCAGTTCCAAAAGATGATCCCTTTATTCTCAGATTATGAGTTCCAACATACCTTATTGATTTTAAAATAAAATGACACATATACTCCAACCAGTTAACAGATATCTAATATCAATTAACATAATGACAAAAGAGAAATATGAAACTATATTATCTTTTAGTAAATTTTAAAGATTAAAATTTACCTGACTTTCATAAAATCAGAAATCTCTATTATGTATACAATGACAACAGATAGCCATAAATGTTATCTGAAGGAAATCAGATGTTTCAGTAGCAGAAAAAATAAAATCAGTTAAGCAAAACACCCAATTGCTATAGAACACTCCATTCTTCCATCATGGATTACAAAGAGTTTACTATATTAATTCTAAAATAAAATTTCATTATAAATACATGCTTCAAATAAACTGATAGTTTGCTAGTCTAAGGAGAAATATCCCCAAAGAAAGCAACAAAGTGATACAGAATATATTAATAATAAAAAGCTTTATGCAAATTTTGGTCTTGAAAACATTAAAAGGATCTGTTATCAATGTTAGCAAAATGTAGCAACAGATACTCAGGCAAGGAAAAAACCTAAATATCAAAACATAGGATGTTTCTGACAGCAAAGGGCAATTTCAAACTAAAGTATGAATTTGAAATGTAAATTCATTTGATAAGTATAGGCAGTAGAAAACCACAATGTTTATACTTAATATGTCTATATTTGATTTTCAGATGTAATTTATGCACTTATTTCAATCCTGCCCAAGTGTTAGTACTACTTGCTGTGCAACAAGCTGTGTTCTACACTGCATCAATCTGTAATTGCCCCCTGTTGATTCTCTCATTCCAATAATTGGACAAACAATGAATCTTACCCAATTAGTCCATTTGTTGTAATTAATACATCCAATTCATCATAAGAGAAAAAAAAGGCAAAAATATAATGTCACATTATTTTTTCTTTGCAAGCTCAGTGAAAGGTACTGAGCCTATTTTTAAGTCCTCAAATATAAACTCAAAACACACACACACATACACACGCTCAGTGAAATGATGCCCATTTAAAGTTCAACTCAAGACCCCAAGCTTAAACTCATCTTAGAAAAACAAGCATGTATTAAAAGGGAGTTAAAACTGTAATCCTTAAATATGCGAAAGTTACATTGTATTATAAGCTTTTGGGAACTTAGACTATTACTTCCTGTTTAAAGTTGGACATCCTTTTTCAGAAAGGCTGAATTTACTGATGTATTTAATGTAAGTAAGAAATAAGGATCCAAGTTGTTAGCTACGTATTAATCAGCCAATACATTTATCAGCACAGTTGAATTCTTAACAGATATGTATTGTTGGCCGGGCACGGTGGCTTATGCCTGTAATCCCAGCACTTTGGGAGGCCGAGGCAGGCGGATCGCGAGGTCAGGAGATCGAGACCATCGTGGCTAACACGGTAAAACCCCATCTCTACTAAAAAGAAATACAAAAAATTAGCCGGGCGTGGTGGCGGGCACCTGTAGTCCCAGCTACTTGGGAGGCTGAGGTAGGAGAATGGCATGAACCTGGGAGGCGGAGCTTGCAGTGAGCGGAGATGTGCCACTGCACTCCAGCCTGGGAGACAGAGTGAGACTCCGTCTCAAAAAAAAAAAAAAAAGATATATATTGTTTTTTACGAACATCTCTGCAATCAGGAATCATTTAATAATCAATGACATGCCATAGTTTTAACTGGCAATATTTGTCTTCTACTGACACATAAAATTAATGGTGTGTCTGTTTTATAATCAATGACACTTTAGATTCAATAAAATATGGTACATCTATTTGTCAATGATAAACCTTACTAGCATGATTCATATAAAGGTACCATTCTTAAAAATGAAACTGTAAATCTTATTTGAAATTCGCAATAAGTTACATACATATCAACTCTTTCTGAGGATAAAGATGCTTCAGATTTTTACTAAGTTTTGTAATTTACATGCAAGCAGTAAAATCAGCAAAACATTTTATCTGCTTGGCTTTAAAAAAACCGTAGAACTTACAGGGAGACTACTAATGGTATGCCTAATAATAAAAAATTCATAATAAATTTAAACCATGCATTTTGACAACTGCTCTTTCGTTTATCATACACCAATAAACAATTAACACATTTATATTTAATTCGAGCATATATTATTTCAAAATTCCTATTATTTTGAAAACCTTGCAAGCAGGGCTTCATACGTCACTTTATTAACAAGAACTATGAAGTGACAATTTCTAATGATATGTCTTATTTTTCCCTCAGATTTTGTTCATCTTATTTTTCCTTTAGATTTTTATAGATAAGAATGTCTCTCTAAAGACATACATGTGGACATAGATGCTAGTTTTGTTAAAAATACACACCTATGCATGTATGTACATATATATGATAGCACGTAATTAACAAATGTTATTTTCCTCCTTTCTTCTTGGAGGCAAATACAGACACAATATCATTTTGAGATCTAAATTAATGTTTTATTGTTTTTCTTCATAACATGACTTATACTTAATTCCTACTAGAGTTTGATAAATATCTCCAAATTTAGACATGTTCTGTTTTAACTAGAAGTTATTTGTAGTACCTGATAACTACTATTCCTGTAACACATACAAAGGATAATTATGGTTAATACAAAAAGGAAGAGTTTAATCATAAAGGACAATAATTGATTAAATTTACAGGGCTATGAAAACATTTTTAAGTAACCAAAAGCATTCTACTTATGTCAGCCAGAAAATCTATAACAGAAGTAAATTCCAACTGACAACATGGAAACATAATTTAAATGTCAAAGTAATAAATCATAGGTTTAAAAATACTTCTATCGAATCATGTGAAATCCCATTCGATAATCTAAAACCAAACAGGGCCATAAGAAAATTCTACTGGAAGTCCTAGATTCTAAAATAAATCAGTAAAATTCATCCTAACTCTCTAATATTACTAAACTATTAGTTATATCCCTGTGGTTTTATGAATGGATTAGCCTCCATTTCTGTTTTCAATTTAACAGATCAAGTTCAACCCTTTGGTATCATTTAATATTTAACCTTCTTTCCATCCATCCATCCATCCCATAAAATTCATCCCATTCCATTCATGGAGCATCTATTATGTACCTACTATTACTGAAGGAATACTCACTATTTTGTATGAAAGGCAGCTTTTAGAACCTGACTGCCAAGATCATAAAAAACACCAAAGCAGATAAAAGTTTTCCAGGCCTACCTCACCCTTCATTTTGCACCTGCCATTTCCATTTCAACTCACACCCTTCCACATAGCCACAAGCAACTCCTTCAAACTCCAGACACATTTCAAACTGTATCTATCCTAAATGCTACTTTAGCTAACCTGATCAACAGAGGCATGGTCATGTCAAAATAGCCATTAATAAGTTAATCTATTATTCCCCTTAACAAGTAGCAACTGTGTTTTCCTGCTTAATTTTTAAGCTGATCTTATTTAGGAACAGAGCCTTAATGGAAAGAGAACTGAGGTAGCTGAATGAGTGTGGGCTTGAAGGAAGGGGTGTGGCTCCTGGCCTTGGCTTTTTCCTTAAATAGCTATGCTATTTATGTTGTCAGAAAACAATAATGACTAACATTTACTGAACACTAAGCATATTCCAGATACTATTTTGTATATTAATTGATTTAGTCTTCAAAATAACACTATGAGGCAAGTACTATCCTATCCCCATTTTACAGAGGAGGAACCTAAAGCATGAGGATGTTAGCTTTTTGTACAGGATTACACTGCTTGTAAGTGATGAAACTGGAATCTGAACAAATGCAACTGGCTCCAGAGGCAAAGAATTTAACCCCATTATCACACTGTATGCCCACTCTAACTCACAGAATTGTAAAAATGAAATGAGACTCTAAGAAAGTGCTCCGAAAAGGACATTCTATTCTTTGCATTGGAAAAAAAGTTAATCTGTAAAAGTGACAACGAAAAGGTTTCAAGCACATTAGCAAGCAGGGGCAGTATTGCTTTTCTTCAGATTAGTCTTCCTAGATTACATCAAATCACATATATGGGTTAAATAAACACCAACCCTGATGACATCAACCATAAATTATTGTTTACAAATTTAGTTACTTTAAAAAAAATTTTTTTTTTTTTTTTGAGATGGAATCTCGCTCTGTCAGCCAGGCTGGAGTGCAGTGGTGCAATCTCGGCTCACTGCAACCTCTGCCTCCCAGGTTCACGCCATTCTCCTGCCTCAGCCTCCCGAGTAGCTGGCACTACAGGTGCCCACCACCACGCCTGGCTAATTTTGTTTTTGTATTTTTAGTAGAGATGGGGTTTCACGGTGTTAGCTAGGATGGTCTCAATCTCCTGACCTCGTGATCCGCCCGCCTCGGCCTCCCAAAGTGCTGGGATTACAGGCATGAGCCACCGCGCCCAGCCATTAATTTTAAAATTTATATTTTACACTGCTGTTGATTAAGTTGCACTGCTTTCCAAATTAACTAATATCAATAATTTGGTATTAGGAACAGCCCAATTGTCCTAAAATTAATAGAAAAATAAAAAATTTTAAATGAGATGTTTAATTATAAAATGGTGCTAGTTGAAATGATGCAACTGAACTTTACTTAAATGATTCTTCACTCAAAAATTTAAAACTCACCAAATTCAAAATTACAAAGTATAGTGGCTTATTGGAAAGCACAGTAATGAAATATTTCATTGGCTAATACTGGAATTCTGGATTGTATATGAATTTCATTTATTCCAACTATGCCTTTTCCTCCAACATGACAATAATTTTTGTCTTTGACTGATATAAATGATTGACACTGTTTTACTCTAACAGCTTAGTAATACATATGCAAACTTCAATACTACTTATCTGCCTGCGACTTATAAATTCTTCTATCAATTCACTTATCTGCCTGCGACTTATAAATTCTTCTATCAAAAAGGCCTATATTTTCAACAATTTTTCTTTTCTAGCAACTACTCAATATTTTACCATGTATTTAGCCAAAACAAAAAAAAATTTCTAGTACAATTCTTATCGATTTTGTTTTCTAGAATTTGCTACCTCTAGAAAAATTGGTCAATGTTGTGCAATATTAAAATAATTTACTATGAATAATTTACCTACTCCTAACAAAAACACAGATATCACAAAACTAGTCAGTACTCCGCTTCAGTGTTACTACTCCCCTTACTATATTAATTCACTTTTCTAAAAATCTGTGTTTCTAATTTAATTATTTCTAGTTATCTCTTATGTACAATGTTTTTTCTTAAACTAGATTTACTTCTGGTATCTTTTGCCTTTAGCTGTTCCTTCCCAAGTTTGAGGCAAGTAACGGTTAGTGTAACTTTTAAAAGTTTATCAACCAATTTCCTCATTTTATGCATTGTTTTTCAAAACGTTACTCTTCCAAATAGTATTCTACTCTGTCTAGATCTCTGAACAAGTTAAAACTGGAAACCCTTAATTATATTAAATTTTGGTTCAGCAAAAGACTAAATATGGGATTTCCTGAATTAAAACTGGGCAGAGCTTTGGAAAAATAAGTTACTTTCATACCTAAAACCTCTAAAAAAACAATAAAAGAAGTAGAAATCTTTCAAATTTCATTTTAGCTGTCTGCAAGTAAAATGCAAAATCAATATGATTATTAATCTATTATAACAAGAGAGCCCATATTATTTAATCGTTTGGACCTGAATGACATAAGGACCAAACTAAATAATTTGGCGGTTACATTTAAAATGCTAAGAATTCATTTGATTTATAAAATTGCATTAGTTCTAAATATCTATATAATATATCAACAATTTCTGAGCAAATGAAGATTTTCACAATAAAGACATTCTTTATTGCGGACTTTTTGTGAAAAAGAGAAAAGTTAGATTGACCCCTTTATGTCAAATTTCCACATGAAGTCCTCAAAAATAACCAGTCCTGAAAAAACAATTCTAAACTATGTTGGCTTAGTTATGCTTACCCTTGCATGCTAAGCAAATACACCTATAAAGCAAATTATAACATTTACTGTATTTTATTTTTTGAAAATATTTTGGATAAGCAGTAAAATACATAGGATTAATATATCCTCCTAGAGCAATTCTTTGTCCTTATAATTCTCTTGGAGCATTAATCCTCACCTGGCCTCTTTATTACGTAAAGTAAATCAGACTATATGGAAGTAAATCAGTAAGAACTGGCAACCACTTATTGTTGATTTATATGGTATTAGTGTTTTTTTTTTTTTTTTGCCATTTCATTCAGTCCAAAGTTGTGGTTTTATTAAGAAAATATTACATTTCATGTTTCCAAACTATGAGTGCTCAGTGAGGCACAAGTACAACCAAGAGAAAAAGAATCTTATAAAGAATTTCAATGCATGCTCTGTAAAGAAAGTGAATATGAAACTGGCACAGCAATATGGATTTCATTTTGTTTGTTTTTATCCTTTTCCTGATTCGTATACTGAAATATTTTACTACTTTAAATCCCTTTTAATAATATTAACATACAAAAAGCTACATTCTACATTCATAGAACCATAAAATTTGGGAGATCCTGGAATATTATCTAATTCATTCGGCAATGAAATAAAGCACACATAGTAGCCAACAATTTAAAACTCAAATATGGGAGTAAATATACTCAAATCAAAAGTAGATGGTTGGACAGTTTGAACTTTAACAGAACATTGAAAGGAATTAAATTTAATTCTTAACCAACTTACCCAATTTTTGTCTTCTCTTTTAACTTAGAACATGTTTTTGTTTTTTTGCTGTCTTTGTCCTTTGGCTTGGATTTCATCCTTCTACCTTTCTTTTCCTCTTTTCCTTCAACTGAAGCAGTAGGAAAGTTTTCAGGGCTCATTACTCGTGGAATATTGCGTTCCCCACGCTCCTTTGCTTTTGCTATGGCCTCTGATATTATACGATTAGCCTTTTCTTGCTTGCTTTCTGATTCCACCTTTTTTCTCTGCTTCTTCTCAGACATGACCCTCACCTGGGTATTCTGCAACTTAGTATATGTCCCAGAACCATCGCTCTTCTTGGAAGATGGAGGCTACAGAAACAAAAATATTTTTTATAGAATATACCAAAGTACATCTAAAACAATTGTCACAAATATCTGAAAATCTTAAATTATGTTTAGAGAGGTAAAATTACATTAGCAAATATGTGAGTGCTACAAACAAATTTAAAACATTTTGCTTATCAAGAAATTAGTACAGATATAAACAGCTCAATTGCTACTTTTAAAAATGAAGGTTAAAGAAGAATAATATAGATTCATTGATATTTTCATAGCATTCTTGGTTAGTTGATTCAAGTTTTGTCCTGTAAAGATAGTTGATTCAAATTTTATCCCATAAATATTCTGTGCATTTGGAATAAAAGTCTTTTCTTTCCTCTTCCCTCCAAAATTCTGAACATTAATAAATTTTTAAATAATTTTAATTTAGAATTACTCCATACAGTTTATTATGGCTTTTAGAAAAATAAAACCTCTGCTTTACGACTACAACCTGAAATCATTTAATATTTAAGTGCAGCAACATAGCTAGTTAGTAAACAGACATTCTCATACTTAAAATTAGAGAAAGTTTTAGTTTTCCCATGAAAGAGTTAAATGTGAAAATTTTTTTTCTTTTTCTATATCATAATTATTTTGCTCAAGCAATTTGGGAAATAAACAAGTTTTACAGTTTTACATTAAAATTATTAATATTTAGCAATATCACAGGAAGCAGATCAAGAGCATTTTAAAAAGAATTTCCTCTTCAAACACGCATTCATCCACATATACTTAGATCACAGTTTTGTTATGTTCTTACCCGTAAACATGCCTCTGACTATACCAAAGGAAAAAACCATCAGGAATTTCCAAACACATTTTCATGCTGATTCCAGTGTGCTTCACTGGATATTTTTTCTATACCTGCCTCATCAAAGGTTTCATAGCAGCACTGCAGCACTGGGAAAGGAAGGAGGGTTTAGAATTGCTCACTAAAATGCCACCTTAAGGCCTACAGGCTATAACAAATAACCAAGACTCGAGGAAACAGCAACAAGCTCAAGATGGCGATGCAGTACGACTCCCGTAGCAGCAGCCAGTAATAAGGAAGGTTATTCAATCCCATTAGCCTTTTAGCCCAAAGAACCCCTCCTCCTCCCACTCATTCAGGCTTTCACTTACCCTTCCTCTTGGCCTCTTCACTGAAGACATTTTTGGCGTCAGACAAAGGCTTGCCCTCTGCTTTTTCACCACCCCAGGCAGTGCTCAAGAAAAAAGCATTGAAAGAAGATTCCTAAATGGCCTATTTAGCAAGCTGCAACCAAGAGATGCACAACCCTCCACAAATACACATTTTGATTTATCAACACATTTCTGCCTTGGCAAGTTTATATCTACTGTTCATCCTATTTAGGTATGAAAAAGGCTGTAAACACTCCTAAAAAGCTGAGTTTCCTCAATAGCTGTAAGCAGATAGCCAGATTCCAACAAAGCACAGAAAGAAATGAATGCACAAAGCATCAAAATGCATCAGCATGAATATTAGAGATGTCGTTAAAAATACTGACTCCTTCTGCGGAAGTAGGCCAGCAGATGGTGCTACCAGTTATTATTCCATTAGACTCTGCAATTTAACCCCCAATGGACTGTTCTTCCCTCCATGTAACACATTAACTCTCACTCTGCCATTTCCTGCAGTAAAGTTTTAAAAAATATACATAAAAATCTGATTAAAAAAAAAAATCACCTGAGAACTAAACTGTGGTAAAATGGCATTATGTGGCTATCAATATTTTAAAAAAACAAAATCTAAAGCAATTTTTATTGGAAAAAAATACTTTTCTCCAAGATACTCTAAAATATTTAAAATATGAAATAGCTGAAGATTAGCAAAGGGTTAAAGAGGTCATGCAAATGAACCCAAAATAAGTTTAAGAAGTTAGATAAGGTTTCTTATAATTTTTCTAACAAAAAGCTAACAGTGTTATTTTGAAAATACAGAAATGAAGCTATTTTCATTTGAATTATAAAAAGAAGCTTAAAATTTTGAAATGAACAAATGAGAACTGTTTATAAAGATTACTAACAATGTTAAAATTGTTTCATCGTCTTAACATGGATGAATACATTTTTTTCGTAACATAAAAAACCTTTCTGACCTTTCCTCCTAACCTTCTATTTTAACTGCACTGATGAGTTTTTCAGGTAAAACTGTAGGTTTAGTTCCATAGCAAGTCAACTTGAATTTGAACATCAGTACAACTTTTCTTTCTATAAAAATTGATTCTATTTTAGTAAGCAATGCCCTTAAATCACTAAAACAAAATTTCACTGCTTTAAAATTCAAGTTTACCTCTTTCATCAATGCCATTTTTTCAGTTGGTCCTGGTTAGTCATCTGATATCACTATAAAACAACATTGGGTTCTCCCCTCTGCCCCTTTTAGGTACCAAAGGCCTCAAAACAGAAACAACACTATCTAAACAGGGCTCTAGAAAGACCCATCTGGATGGCATGAGAGATTAAAGGCAGAGGACAAGTAAGGACGAGGAAAGGATCTGACTTGAGATGTCATCAATGTGAAAATAATAACAATAATGAGATAACACTTACAGACTACTTACTAAGTGCCAGGGATTATTCTATTTTACATTTAATAACTAATGTAATCCTGATTAATAATAGGGTAATAACAGTGATAATGGAGACAAGGGGCTGGCTAATGAGAGAAATACTCTGATAGTAGCATTACAAAGAGACAGAATGGAACTGAGAGAGCAAACAATTACAAAAATCATTATGACAATAAGAGCTAAAATGTAGTGCTTACTATGTACCAGGCACTATTCCTAATATTTCCTATATATTGACTCAATCTTCAGAACAACCCTGTAAGATAGGTACTACTGTTATTCCCATTTTATATGAGGATACTGGGGGATAGAGAAATGACTTGCCCAAGATCACACAGCTACTGAATAGTGGAGCAGGGATTAAAAGACAAGGGGGTCTTGTTAGGGAGACCACACTCTTAACCATTATATTTTAATCATGTTTGGTTCAACTATCATAATTTACAGAGTTTAATTTGAGGACAAAGGAAAGTAGTAACATTCTCAAAATTGCAGAGATACCAAATAATAAGGCTAGGATGGTTTTTTTTTTTTTTTCCCGGTGCCCTTTCAAAAGTGTAGAAATCAACTAGACAGAGGTGAGGCATGGCTGAGGAGCAGGAAGAGCCAGCACTTGGTTTCTCGACCAAGAAAAGGTAAAAGAAGGCCAGGTGTGGTGGCTCATGCCTATAATCCCAGCACTTTGGGAGGCCGAGGTGGGCGGATCACCTGAGGTCGGGAGTTCGAGACCAGCCTGACCAACATGGAGGAAAAATCGCCTCTACTAAAAATACAAAATTAACTGGGCCTGGTGGTGCATGCCTGTAATCCCAGCTACTTAGGAGGCTGAGGCAGGAGAACTGCTTGAACCTGGGAGGCGGAGGTTGTGGTGAGCAGAGATAATGCCATTGCACTCCAGCCTGGGCAACAAGAGTGAAACTCTGTCTTAATTTAAAAAAAAAAGTAAAAGAAATAGGAAACCTAGTTGAGAAAGAATGTGTATGTGTGTATAACAAGTTTAATTCTTTTCATACTGAGTTTGAAATGGAGATCTCTAGCAATTTGAAATTTGGGACTGGATCATCAGAGAGAGAAGTCAGGGCTGGAATGTAAGATGCAGATCCTCCTGCTGTTTTCTTCCATTACCCTTATAATTCACTGACACTATTCAAAGAACCTAAGAGGATTTCCAAAACAACTCACTTCTCTTATAAAGTTTTTCAATAGATTCTACTACCTGACTCAGAATCCCAACTGTTTAATAAACCTTAATAAATCTATGATGAAATATTTCCTCTGCTACTAGAATACAGCATTTTAAAACCATATTCCCACAGAATATCAACAGAGGTGTTAAGTAACTGAACATTTTTAATGTTGGTCATTTCCCAATTCACACACACAAACATACAATGTTATGGTTTTTCTGCCCTTCCCCCCACCATCTAAGCAGTCATCAAATTCTGCCAAATCTACTTAATTGTATTTTTGGTTTTTTTCCTCTTCTAAGTCCCCACAGCTCCTGCTTTATTAACTTTCTACTTGTTATACTGTGGTTATGTAGGAAATGTTCTGATCTGTAGAAAACATATACCAAAGTCTTTGGGGATGATGGATTACTAGGTCTGCACCCTATTCAAATGGAGTAAAATAATTTATTTGTACTATGCTTGCAATTTTTCTGTAAGTGTGATAAGTTTCAAAATACAAAGTATTTAAAAATTTAAAATAAAGTCACAGGCCTTGCTCCCCATGAGCTTGTATGATTAAAATAATAGGTCGGGCGCGGTGGCTCATGCCTGTAATCCCAGCCTTGGGGAGGCCAAGGTGGATGCATCACTTGAGGTCAGGAGTTCTAGATCAGCTTGGCCAACATGGTGAAACCCCATCTCTACTAAAAATACAAAAACTAGCTGGGCATGGTGGCGCACGTCTAATCCCAGTTACTCAGGGGGCTGAGGCAGGAGAATCGCTTGAACCCAGGAGGTGGAGGTTGCAGTCAGCTGAGATCATGCCACCGTACTCTAGCCTGGGCAACAGAGCGAAACTCTGTCTCAAAACAAATAAACAAACAAACATATAAACAAAAAAATACATAAAAGGCACATATATTAATATCATATCCAAATATTCATTAAAAAAGAAAACCTATAGTACAAGAGATGATATCATATGTGATATGTTATTTTGATAGCACCTGGAAGGAATATATGGAAGACTCTATATATCATATTTCAGTACTGGGGAAACTCAAAGATTTATAGTATAAGTGTTTGTCAAAGACAGGTCATGACCTAATAGCAAGTCATGATACACATTTAAAGGGTCCAGACAACTACTAAAAAAACAACAACAAAACAAAAACAAAAAAACAAATAGAGTAGAAGAGGATAGTGTCAGACCCTTATGCATGCACTTCATGCCTCTAATAAAATTATAATTTTTCACACTACCTGTTACTCGCCTTTTCCTTCATGAGGAAAAGAAGCGAAGAGATTTGGGCAAGAAATTAGAGGTTTTAAAATCTGAGTGGGGACTTAGGTCCTTTCTCCTCTGGTGAAATAATTTCACATGTAACCAACAGCCATATTGGGAAATTCCTCCATTTCCAATATTTCAGTTGTATTAATAAAATTACTGGATCACTAGTGTGTGGATATAAGTAGAAATTATAAATTTTCAAAAAGAGAAGGGAAAAATGATCACATGACCACTGTACACTCAGAGAACAGGTTCCTCTCCTGGCAGGCTGGGGTGGTGAAGGTTATACACACACACACACACACACACACACGTTATCTAGATAAAGAAACATTCTACTTGACATAAATGTGTGTGTGTGTGTGTGTGTGTGTGTGTATATATATATTTTTTTTTTTTTTTTTTTTTTTTTTGAGATGGAGTCTTGCTCTGTCGCCCAGGCTGGAGTGCAGTGGTGTGATCTCGGCTCACTGCAAGCTCCGCCTCCCAGGTTCACGCCATTCTCCTGCCTCAGGCTCACGAGTAGCTGGGACTACAGGCGCCCGCCACCACGCCCGGCTAATTTTTTTGTATTTTTAGTAGAGACGGGGTTTCACCATGTTAGCCAGGATGGTCTCGATCTCCTGACCTCGTGATCTGCCCATCTTGGCCTCCCATAGTGCTGGGATTACAAGCGTGAGCCACCACGCCTGGCTCTACTTGACATATTTTTAAAATATGAAGAAATGCAAGGTCCCAGATATAATTCCTTAGTAAAAATAAAACACAGAACAATAAATTTTCAACAACAGAGATATAACTGCATTGTAGCTAAAATTCTCCCAACCTTTCTCAAGAGAGAGGAAGACTCTTAGGCTTTAGGCTTGGAGGACTAGGTGGATAGAAGTTTCAATGGAAGAGGACATAAAACAGAAGATAGCAAGCCTTGAGCAAGAATGAGTTTATCTGCCTAGAGAGACAATGTAGAATAACAGAAGAGAACCAGTGGTGAAACCCAAAAACAACAAGTTCCAGGAGCTAGCAGATGAAGAGGAGCTATTGAAGGAAAACAACAAGAAAATGCAAGAATGGTAAGGTAAGTATCAGGAGACAGTGGTGCCATGGAAGCCAAGAAAGGAAAGAATTAAAACCTCTGCAGTCAAAAGGAAAGTATCTTAAAGTAATTTGGTATTATAAAGATAATTTAATAAGGCATTTTACTTCTCTTAAATTGTTTATTGTAAGCTGGTGTACTGGTTTTTAGTCTCCTTATTTTTAAAATAGAAGCATAATAATTATTTACTTAAATATTCATATTAAATCAACCTAAAAACAATAGATTTGTAGTTAATTTTAGTAATATGTGTCAAACATTAGTATGGTGGCTTCTTTTGATTTTTATTTAATGCATACAACATTTTTCTTCAAACTATCAATAAATACATGTTTAAAGAGAAAAGAGAAAAAAACTGATCCAAGAGCAAATTATAATGTCAAACTTTTCCTGAATTTTACCCTTAGATTTGTTTTCAGAGTTTTTCATGGAAGTGGAACAATTATTTCACTTCACTTTCTTCACATCTGTGAACTACCATGCTCACAAATTAAAAGGTTTATTTTCGTCTTGTGACTCGCAGTAGTACCCAGGTTTACAATTTTAGATAACCATGACATTCCTTTTTTTTTTAAGTGTCATAATCTTAATTTGCATTGATACAGTAATACTTTTTAAGGGTTGGCTTTATTTTAAGCATCCACATAAAAGTCCAGGCAAACAGTAGATGTTCATACAAGTTTTGTTTCTTTTTTAAATACAAATGTACATCTAGCTTACAGGAAGCACAGGGAAAAAAGGAACTTGTTAAATGCAATCAACAAAATCCAGATGTAATCAGCAAAATGGGGATGTAATCAGTAAAATCCAGAGTGTAGGAAACTCCATAGGACAAAGGACTCTATTTCTTCAACAAAGAAACTGTAAGAAACAAAACAGAAAAGGGCAACCACAGAGTAGATGAGACTTAAGACTAATTGGAATGACAAAACAGAAAAAAAAAAAAAGAGAGAGAGAGAAACTTAAAAGACCTCAACAAAATGCAACATGTGGAGCATTGCATTTGGTTTATATGTTTTCTAAGTTTAGATATTGGCCTGAACCAGCCAACTGTAAAAATAAATTTACTTAGCAACTGGAGAAATAGAAACCCTGACCAGATATTTGATTATATGAGAATTATGGTTATCTTTTTTAGGTGTGAAACTGGTTTTGTAGTTGTGTTTTAAAGACAAAAATCTAATGCAGGCATGGTGGCTCATGCCTGTAATCCCAGAACTTTGGGAGGCCAAGGCAGGAGGATTGCTTGAGGCCAGGAGTCCAAGGCCAGCCTGGGCAACATAGCAAGACACAATCTCTTAAAAAAAAAAATTTAAACTTAGCTAAGTGTGATGGTGCACATCTGTAGTCCGAGTTGCTTGGGAGGCTGAGGTGGGAGGATTACTTGAGCCCAGGAGCTTGAGGTTGCAGTGAGCTATGATTAGCCCCTGTACTCAAGTTGGGTTGGGTGACAGAGCAAAACCCTGTCTCAAAACAACAACAACAACAAAAAAAAAAACCTCAAACTGATCCCCCCAAATTTTTGCCTTTTAGATGTATAAATCAATGTATTTTTAGATGAATGATAAGACTAAGATGTACTTCAAAAATATCCATGGAGGGGGTGGCTATATTCATTAGATGGTAGTACAGATGCAACAGTGGCCATATAAATTGACAGCTGTTGGTGGCTGGGAGATGGATATTCTACTTCTGTGTCACTTGAAATGCTATATAATAAAGAAATTTAAAAATTTATATTCTGGAATAACAAGTAGTTTGGCATGACAAGCAAAGGAGATGCCTGTGGGAGAATGATAAGCAACAAGGACTAAAATATAACAGACTAGATTATCAACGGTGTTATAGGTTATGTTAAAATATCTAGACTTCATGCTGAAGGAATTAGGGAATTAATAAATGATTATATAGAGAGAACAGGATCACACTTTAAGACATAGGGGTACTAAGTGGTTTTGATAAAAATGCCAGAATAATTGATAAAATATTTTGGCTTAGAAAAAGGTCATACATGATCTAAAAACAAATAGTATTTAATCTATTTTACATTAGTATGCAGTACTTTTCCAAGCAAACTTGTTGCTTCCAAATAAGTCAAAAGTATATTTTTAAAACATCAAATCACAAACCTCACCAAGTTCACTACTTGCTGAAAACATTAAATATGCTGAATTTATCAGTCCATAAATTATCCCCAATACTTAAAGCTATTCTCAGCATAACATTGTGATTAAGGGCATGGGTTTTTGAGCCAGCCAGCCCTGGGTTCTGGTTCCAGTTCCATCATTTATCTGGGCCTCAGCTTCCTCAACTGTAAAAATGTAGATAATAACAGTATTCATCTAATAGGGCTCTTGTGAAACCTAATAGATAATGCTTGTAGAGTGCTTTAGCATGGTGTCAGGCATACAAATACTGAGAGATATTAGGTATGGTTATTGTTATTGCTGTGATGTGATACTGTGCTCTTCTCAGTACATCATATCAGAGAGTAGATGATGTCAGTGTCTTATTATTGGTGATGTTACCCTTGGTTACTTGGTTAAAGTAGTGTCTGCCAATTTATTCTCCATGTAAATGTCTTTTTTTATAATTAATACATATTTTATGGGAAGATATTTTGAGACTAGGCAAATATCCTGTTTCCCATATACATTTGCCCAATAATTCTAGCATTCATTGATTCTTGCCCATAACAATCATTACTGTGGTATTTGCCTAATGGAAAGTTTCTATTTCCATAATTCCTTCCACATTTTCAATTGGAATTCTACTCTAAACAAGAGCTGTCTCTTCTTCCTTTTAATTTATTCATTCATTTGTACCAATATAGACTCATAAATCTTGGCTCACTACAACCTCCACTCCCTGGGTTCAAGCAATTCTCATGCCTCAGCCTCCCAAGTAGCGGGGATTACAGGTATCCGCCACCATGCCTGGCTAATTTTTGTGGTTTTTTTTTTTTTTTTTTTTGAGACAGAGTATTGCTCTGTTGCCCAGAATGGAGTGCAGTGGTGTGATCTTGGCTCACTGCAACCCCTGCCTCCTGGGTTCAAGCAATTCTCCTGCCTCAGCCTCCCAAGTAGCTGGGACTATAGGTGCACACCACCACACCCAGCTAATTTTTGTATTTTTAGTAGAGATGGGGTTTCACCATGTTGGTCAGGCTGGTCTCGAACTCCTGACCTCATGATCAGCCACCTCAGCCTCCCAAAGTGCTGGGATTAAAGGTATGAGCCACCGTGCCCAGCCTCATGTTTTTGTATTTTTAGTAGAGACAGGGTTTTGCCATGTTGGCCAGGCTGGTCTCGAACTCCTGACCTCAGGTGACCCACCCGCCTCGGCCTCCCAAAGTGCTAGGATTACAGGCATGAGCCACCGTGCCAGCCGATATTACTTTCTTTCTATGGTTTATAATCTGACACTATGATTACTTACTTGTTCAAAATGTCCTAACTTTGGCCATTTACAGCTCCTTCAAGTTGGTTCCTGTGTTCATAACCCCACCGTATTTCAAGCACTTCCTTATTTTCTGGTACTGTAAGATATTCCAGTTTTATGGTAAGAATAGTTTAATGGTCAAGATGGAAGTAGCTGAGATGGAAGCCACACTACAGTAGGTTAAGAAGCAAATGGAAACTACATGTTCTCACTTACATGTAGGAGCCAAATAATGGGTATACATAGACATACAGGGTGAAAGAACAGACACTGGAGACTCTAAAAGGTGGAAGGGTGGCAGCAGAGTCAGGGATGAAATACTACCAGTTGGGTACAATGTATACTATATAGGTGATGAGTACACTAAATGCCCAAACTTCACCACTATTCAAATATCTATGTATCTAAATCTGTAAAAATAAAACTTTAAAAACCTAAAAATAATTTAAAACATGACTTTAAGTAAAACAAAAGGTGAAATTTTTATTTTCAAAATATATATACATGTTTGTCTATATGAATATATATTAATATATGCTAAATGAATCAGGGAATCAATAAATGACTATATACAGAGAAGCAACAGGATCAGATATTAAGATATAGAGTTGTTAAGTGGTTTCAATAAAAATCCATCTATGGGGCTAGGCACAGTAACTCTCATCTGTCCTATTTTGGAGATTCCTTGTAATAAAAGTGTAACTATGACTGTAACAGTTTTCAGTGGGTTTGGTTAGTCCTGCTGGCAAATTATTGAAACTGAGGGTACTTTTGGGAACCCCCAGAACTTGTAGCTGGTGTCAGAAGTGAGGACAGTCTTGGGACTGTGCTAACTTTGCAGTTTGGCTAACTCTGAGTAATGCTTCTCAATGAAAAAAAAAAAAAGTTTGGTGGCAAAATAAAGAGATCTTCATCTGCTATATTCAAATGCAAATTCCAATTAAAAAGATTTTTACATTTTTATAAGACTTATAAAATAATGAAAACTAGGATTGGCAATAATTCCATGCTATCAAAGACTTATCTATAGGAAATCTGAACTAAGAAAACTGCTTCCTTAAATATCCTAGGCGTTCCCATTCCATCTGTACAGAGGAACACATCTATGTGACAAGATTCAATATTCCTACATACATTTTTAACAATTGAGCATGTTTGACTTAAGAGAAAAAGGACACAAGAAGAGGAACTGCATGACAGTCCGTTTAAAATATCACATGGAATAGAAATTATTTTTTGAGGCTTGAAAGAAGTTCAATTCTTTAAACAAATATTGAGGCCGGGTGTGGTGGCTCACGCCTGTAATCCTAGCACTTTGGGAGGCCGAGGCAGGCGGATCACAAGGTCAGGAGATTGAGACCATCCTGGCTAATACAGTGAAACCCCATCTCTACTAAAAATACAAAAAATTAGCCGGGTGTGGTGGCAGGAGCCTGTAATCCCAGCTACTTGGGAGGCTGAGGCAGGGGAATCGCTTGAACCCGGGAGGCGGAGGTTGCAGTGAGCCAAGATCGCACCACTACGCCACTGTACTCTAGCCTGGCGATAGAGCGAGACTCTGTCTCAAAAAAAAAAAAAAAAAAAAAATTGAATGCTTATTATGAGTCAGGTGCTACTTGATGTTAGAACAATGGACGTGTAGTCTCTCAGAAAGAAATTTATAACTTGGTAGTGTGAAACTATCACCAATGAGTAAAATGCAGAGGGAATCATAGTTAATAATACTCTTCATCAGCATGTTCCCTCCCTTTAGAACCCCCTCCCAAACACTCTGTTCATATTGCTTTTGGAAGGCTCTAAAGATGGAAAAACAGGGTGGAGTACTATAGAAAAACCCATGGTTGGAGAGTCGATACGCTTGAGAAAATATAATTGGCTATGTAGGAAGGGAGAGGGTTTCCGTAATTCCAATCACAGAAAGAGTTCAAACCAAAAATGCTAGGGAGGCCGGGCATGGTGGCTCATGTCTGTAATCCCAGTACTTTGGGAGGCTGAGGTGGGCAGATCACCTGAGGTCAGTAGTTCGAGACCAGCCTGGCCAACATGGTGAAACCCCGTGTCTACTAAAAATATAAACATTAGCTGGGTGTGGTGGTGCACGCCTGTAGTCCTATCTACTCAGGATCTGAGGCAGGAGAATCCTAGCTACTCAGGAGGGTGACGGAGGTTGCGGCGCAGAGATCGCACCACTGCACTACAGTCTGGGTGATACAGCGAGACTCCATCTCAAAAAAAAAAAAAAGCTAGAATATTCACGTAGCAGAATGAGTTGAACTAGACAGGCTGCTTAGTCCCATTCAATTCTGGGATTTTAAGATACTACAAAAAAGTGTTAATATTTAAAATAATCAAGAACATGCAATAAGGTTATCTTATCTTCCATAACAGCATAATAGAGTCCTGATATAAAATACTTTCCTAGTTATATAAAGTACCCTGAGGTGCACTGGGAACCTGATTTTCTACTGCAACCTCACTGAATAAAGACCAGGTAGACTACACAAACATCAATTTGTTCGTGTATTGTTGAGTAAAAAATGTCACTCAAATCCTACTATAATTAAAAACAGGACACAGGATTAGATATGAAAATTAACATTTGTGCAATGTTTGATAGTTTACAGAGGACTTTAATCTGTTAAATGTTATCTCATTTAATTCTTCCAAACTCCTAGGAAATGGCTATAGTGGTGGTAGTGGTACTTGTTATTCCCATTTTAAAATGAAGGAGTCTTAGCCAAATTCCATAACCTTTCTACTAGTCTGCCAGTATATCTCAGCCTTTTCTCTCTTCTACTCCCTTATTTTTAACACAATTAACACATTCATCACAGTAATCCATCTCAACACTTAGTTGGGAGTGAAAGGAGTGGAATGGCATGGACTAGTAAATTCTCTCTGAAATTCTGGGAGGAGAGAAGCATCTTTCTTGCCTACCTACCTTTGACAATCACTATTCTATACTTTTCTTCTGAAGAAGTATGTTAATCATTAACTCATAAATCTTCAACTCAAGAAAACTGAAGGTACAAATATATGAGAAAAAACAAAACTTAGTTTCACTGGAGATGATTCACATAAAACTTTAGTTTGGCTTAGAAAGCTCTAAAATTGCCCTACAATTTACAGAAAAGTGCAATCCTAGATTGGATCTGATCATTGTCTTTAAAACTTAGAAGACTGATTGGTTCACTCATTTAATATTCATTTAACAAGTACTTGTTGAACTAAGTGTACTGTTCAACAAGCACTGTTCCCAAGCACTTCTCATTACTATGTCATCTACTTATATTAAGGAATCTTACGATTAAATCAAATATTCTGCTTTTAAAAATGAGGTGTTCTAGTATCTACCAAGGCTAATCATTTTATTGTGGCAGACAGAATTATAAGGTAAACCCTCAATGAACCATGCTCTTGTAAAACTCTTCCCCTTGATTGTGGGCTGAACCTGTAAAAATGTTGGAATACCACAGGCTATGTGGCAAAAGTGAAAGGATTTTACAAATATAATTAATGCCTATTTCAGTCTACTTAGTGGTTGCCAAAGGTTAGGGATGGGACATTAGGGTAGGAGAGAGGTAGGTTTGGTTACAAAAGAGCAACATCCTTGTCGTGATGGAACCAAACTGTATCTTGGCTTTGGTGGTGGTTTCATGAACCTATACATGTGATACAATTTCATGAAAATAAACACACAAACACATGCAGATGAGAGCATGGAAAACTGGGGAAATCTAAATAAAGATTGATGGATTGTATCAACTCAGTTTCTTGACTGTGATACTGTACTATAGTTTTGCAAGATTCTACCCTTGTGGGAAACTGAATTAAGGATATACGGAGGCTGGGCACAGTGGGTCATGCCTGTAATCTCAGCACTTTGGGAGGCTGAGGCAAGTGAATCATTTGAGGCCAAGCATTCAAGACCAGTCTGGCCAACATGGCAAAACCCCATCTCTACTAAAAATACAAAAATTAGCCAGGCATGGTGGCACACGCCTGTGATCCCAGCTACTTGGGAGATTCAGGTGTGAGAATTGCTTGAACTTGGGAGGTGGAGATTGCAGTGAGCTGAGGTCACTGTATTCCAGCCTAGATGACAGAGCGAGACCCTATCTCAAAAAAAAAAAAAAAAAGCATACATTGAATCTCTCTGTTTTATTTCTTACAACTGCATGCGAATCTGCAATTACCTCAAAATAAAACTTAAAAAAAAAAAGTAGTTACAAAAAAAGAGAGCGCTTAGGCCTTCTCTGAGCTCAGAGATACTCTCCTGCTGGCCTTGAAGAAACAAGCTGCTGGAGTTCTACAGTTGCAAGGAAATGTGTTTTGTCAACAATCTCATAAGCCTAGACCCTGAGCCTCAGATGAGATACTGCAGCCCAAGTTGACACCTTGGTTGCAGTTTTGTGAGAGCCTGAGAAAAGAACCCATCTAAGCTGTGCCCAGACACCTGACCCAAGGAAGCCATGAGATAATAAATGAGTGCCATTTTAAGCCAGACTAAATATGTGGTAATTTGTAACTAATAGAAAATATATTCGTATACCCAATGATTGAACAATTCCAATCTTGGGTATATGTCCAACATAATTAAAGTTCAATAACATGCAAAACTAACCTATGAGGTTATAAATCAGAATGGTGGTTGCCCTTGATGACCAAGCATAGTGACTAGTAGCAAGCTTTTAGGCCATAGCAGGCTTCTAGAATTGTGCTAATATCTTATTTCTTGGTCTGGATACTGGTTAAATGGATGATGTTTAATGTCTGAAAATTGATCAAATTGTTCACTTTTAATTTGTGTATTTTCTGTATGTACATTATACTTCAAGAAAATTTATATTAAAAGATTATAACTCAAACTGAAGAACATTTTGTAATCTTATCATTAATCTGAGTAAACAATCATTCTTACAGGTATTTAAGGAAAAGACCAACTGTTCTCTTAATGCAATAATGTCTTGACACTAAAAACAAATTATTTTCTTGATTTTATTACTGTGACATTCCAGATATATTTCATTAAGAAAACAGTAACAGAGAAATATACTATTGCCTATTTCCTCTAATACCAGGAGAAATCTATGAAATGCTGAAAGAGGCCTGAGAATTACCTTAATCAGTGTTATTGGTGATGGGAAAAGGCGGGATCAGGAAGAAAGACAATTTTTCAAAACCCACAATCAAAATGTGAAGAAGAGAAAACTGAAATACAATGTTTAAATCTATACTCACATTTCTGAATAACACCATCATCTCTCTCTCTAGTTACATTTTCAATTTTCAAATGCTTGTTTTACTTTATTTTTAAAATTTTATCTTTTGAGACAGGGTCTCACTCTGTCACCCAGGCTGGAGTGAAGTGGTACGATCTCCGCTCACTTCAGCCTCCACCTCCCAGCTCAAGTGATCCTCCTGTCTCAGCCTTCTGAGTAGCTGAGACTACAGGCCTGCGTCACTATGCCTGGATAATTTTTGTATTTTTATAGAGACAAGGTTTCACCATGTTGCCCAGGCTGGTCTCAAACTCCTGGGCTCAGTGATCCTCCTGTCTTGACCTCAAAGTACTAGGATTATAGGCATGAGCCACTGCACCCAGCCTCGGGGTTTACTTTATATTCTAGTGATGCTGAACTAAGTTCAGTTTTTTTAGACTTTTTTTTTTTTTTAAGAGGCAGGGTCTCGCTCTGTTGCCCAGGCTGAAGTGCAGTGGCATGATCACAGCTCATCTCACTGGAACCTTGAATTCTTGGGCTCAAGTGATCCTCTCACAGCACTGGGATTACGGCATAAGCCACTGTGTCCAGCCTTCTTAGACATATTTTACCTAAAACTTTGAATTTACTGATCTAGTTGTCAAGAGTGCCCTTTCTCCAAAAGGTAGCCTAGCAAATGTCCATTCAAAAATTCACTTTTAGATATCACTTTTACTCTACGTAATTTTACAACAGTAATATTTGTTTTATAACAGTAATATTACTATAGTATATTATAGTTATTTACAAGCCAAGGTCACATTCAATTTGTATCTCTAAAACCTAGCCGATGTTTAGCACAGTTTCAATATCTGTATAATGAGGATAATCATAGTATCTAATCTAACAGGGTTGCTGTGAATTTAAATGAGATCATTCAACTAAAGGATTTCAGAACAGTATCTGACATGCAGGCACTCGGTAAATGTTAGTGTTCATTATTGTGATTAAGATTAATGTTCCTTATACAACTAAGTCTCAAAACCCAATAAATATGAAAACAAAGACTCCAATTTTTAAAATGGGCCAACGATTTGAATGGACACTTTACCAAAGAAGATGAAAGGATTGCGAATAAACACTAGAAAAGATGCTCAGATTATTAGACATTAGGGAAATACAAATTCAAGCCACAATGAGATATCAATCTACATCTATTTGGATGGTTAAAAGATTTTTTTTTTTCTTATTTTGGGACAGAGTCTCACTCTGTCACCCACGCTGGAGTGCAGTGGCGTGATCTCGGCTCACTGCAAGCTCTGCCTCCCGGGTTCATGCCACTCTCCTGCCTCAGCCTCCAGAGTAGCTGGGACTACAGGGGCCCGCCACCACGCCCGGCTAATTTTTTTGTATTTTTAGTAGCGACAGGGTTTCACCGTGTCAGCCAGGATGGTCTCGATCTCCTGACCTCATGATCCACCTGCCTCGGCCTCCCAAAGTGTTGGATTACAGGTATGAGCCACCGTGCCCGGCCGGATGGTTAAAACATTTTAAAAATAAATATTTAGTGCTAGACAGGATATGGAGCAACAGGAACTCCTATATGCTGCTGGTGGGAATGCAAAATGGTACAACCACTTTGGACAACAGTTTAGTATTTTTTTATAAGTTCAACATACACTCAACATATGACCCTCAGCAATTTTACACTTATATATTTACCCGAGAGTGAAAACATATGGTTAACAAAAAAAAGCTGTATATACATGTTTATAGAGGCTTTATTCATAATTACAAAAACCTGAAAACAACCCAAATACCCTTTAACTTGTGAATACATAAACAATTTGTGGTGCATTTATATAATGGAATATAACTCAGTAACATGAAAGAAAAAGCTATTGATACAGGGAACAAAAATGTTCTATGCTAAACAGAAGTCAGACTAGTAACACAATATACTGCATGATTCCATCCATACAACATTCTCAAAAATGCAGAATTGCAAAGAAAAAAATTAATCATTGGTTGCCAGGGTCTAGGGTTAGGGGAAAGACTGAGTGCAAACGGGAATGAGGGAATTGTGGGGATGAGAGCAATAATCTGTGTCTTGATTATGGTAAGGTTATAGAACTGTGCACATTTTTCAAAACTCACAGAACTATATGACACAAAAGATGAATATTACTGGATGTAAATTATTTTCCAATAAACCTGTCTAAAACAAAATTACATGTTCTTTAGGCTTCCATTCTCATACTAAGAAGCTAATACCACTAGACTTCTAAATCTAGGTTAATATCTTGATATTTATTCCTTTCCCTTAATCCCAGTAGCTACCCTTGAAGTCCTGTCCTATGACTGTTATTTAAGTCTCTAAATAGTACCTATTCCTAGATTTCTGGATGCTATTTCTTCACTCATCTGTTTTCAGGAGTCGGTGTTGTATGTGGCTTAGTCCCACACAATTAGACTTCTTTCTATAATCTACTGCTGGATCTTCAAACTCCTACTTTAACTCTCCTTCCCTGTTCCAAACACAACATAATAAACACACGCATGTGTGCAGGCACATATACCTCTTTTATAGGTCTCAGCCATGTTAGAGACATTGACTGTTTTTTTTTTTTTTTTTGAGATGGAGTCTCACTCATTTTTGGTCAATAAGCCCATGAAAAGATACTCAACATCATCCATCAGTAAAACACAAATTAAAATCATAATGAGATACAAATACACATCTAATCAATGGCTAAATTTAAAAAGACTGACAATACCAAGAACTAAAGAGAAAGGAACATCTGGAACTCTCATACACTGCTGGTGGGAATGTAAAAGAGTACAACCACTTTTGAAAGGTCACAATTTGTTACACAGCTACACATAAACTTGTGACCCAGTAACCCCATTCTGACAATATTTACCCAAAATAAATGAAAACATATATCCACAAAAAGACTGAACTTGAATGTTCTTAGAGGCATTACTCATAATAGGCATAAATTAGTAAAAACTCCAAGTGTCCATCAAGAGGCATATGAGTAAATTGTGGTGTATCTATAAACTGGAAAGCCAATCAGTCATAAAAAGGAACAAACTACTGCCTTAGACAACATGACTGAATCACAAATGCCTTATGCTGAATAAAAGAAACCAGACTCAAAAGGCTACAAACTGTATGATAACGTTTACATAGCATTCTCAAAAAGGAAAAACTATAGGAGCAAAAAACAAATCAGAGGCTGCCAGCAGTGGTGGTTGAAAGAGGTAGGAAGAAATTTTGAGGGCTGATGTAATTATTCTTTATCTTGATTACTGGTGTAGCTACTTATATGTATATATCTGTCAGTTAGAACTGTTCACTAAAAAGAGTGACTTTTGACTGTGTGTAAATTATAACTCAAAAAAAGAAAGAATGAGAAAGAAATGAACTGATACATGAGAAGACATAAATGTTTAAAATAATATAAATGGTGAAAAAGCCATAAAGAAAAAAGTAGGTACAGCATGATTCCATTTATATGAAATTAAAAACAGGCAAAACTAATCTATAGTGGCAGAAAGTAAATCAGTGATTGCCTGGGGCCAGGGATGGGAGGAAGACTACCTGCAATGGGGCATAAGGAACTTTTTAGGGTTATAAAAACATTTTATATCTTAATTGCGGTAATGATTACCTAATTGTATATATTTGTCAAAAATCATCAGATTACACTTAAAATGGGTACATTTCATTGTATGTAAATTATGCCTCAATAAAATTGATTTTAAAATGTACTTACTAAGTGGACATATGTAACAGGATTAATTTTACCCTGACTTATCTGTTTAATAACTCCTCTTCTTTTATTAGTTTTAATTATTTGACTACAAAGTAAAATTAGATTATATTATACTAATTTCTATAATTTATGCTGGCCTGTTGTTAGTGGCAGATACTCAATTTAGAAAATATTTGCTAATAACCTATTACATAGAGGTACAAAAAACAGACTCTCTGGGAAACACACCAGAGATATGGGGAAAATGGTAAATCAATATAAACTAGAGGGGCAAGGAAGACTTGAAAGTGTTCTCAGAAAATAAGCTAATTTTTATAATGATGAGATAATAAGATATTCAATGGAGGAAGATAAGCATAACCAAAGGCATAACAAGTGAAATAACTGTGTAGAAAAAAATTTCGTAAGTTATATTCCAGGAAATTGTGAGATATTAAAACACTCAGATTCATGTAAAATTCTGAGATGCAGCCTTGTATTTCCTCCTCCTTGGCGCGTCATGATAAAGCTTAACATATTAAAGGCTCATTCTCAGAGTCCACAGAGAACGAGCAGAAAATGAGCTTGAATGGATTGGGTAGCAAAACTATAAAATTTTTGATTCTCAGTGTAGACAAAAACAACTCTTTTATATCTTTCAAAACCCATTTTATTTCTTCTAGTATAAAACGTTTTTAATTGAGAAAGAAATTAGGTTTGTCTCCACCCACCTCTACCATCTGGAAAGAAAGCCATATTGTAAACTGCTATAATCTTACAAATAGAGAGATTTAATCAGTAATTTGCTCTTCAATGGGAAAGGTGATATTAAGAATAATTTGGGGACCAATGTGGACCAGAAGTTTGTTGGTTCTGTTCTAGTTTGGGAGGTAGGGTTGGGGGAAAATCATGGTTCAATGTGACATTTTTAGAATACTCAAAAGTATTTTAAATAAGAGGTTGAGGGATAATAAATGTAATATTAAAGTGTATCCCCATAATATAGATGCAAAAAAACAAGTACAAAAGTACTTAAATGATTACAGGTCACATATACTGTCAACATTAGCTTTCCGTCTATTTTGTTGATCTCAAATATTTGAATAAAATATATCTTCATTTATACCTCCGCTATCATCCTGTAAGACATGGAAAAAATTGCACAGTCTACAAATGCACTAAAGTCTGATAAAAGGCTATAAAAATATTTTGCTAATTGTTCAGTTTAATGCAATTATCCAGGATGACCCATTAAAGCCAAAATACAAACACAGCAAACGCTAGTACAAATCATAAATTCAAACTGCAGAGCAGTATCTTTTGCTAATACAGACACAAATATTTTCAACAAAATAATAGCAAACCTAATCCAGGAAAAAAAAATATATATAATACATATATATATAGAGAGAGAGATACATACCATCGACAAGTAGGATTTATTTTAGGAGTGCAAGGCTAATATCTGAAAATCATATCAACAGAATAAAGAATAAAAACTAAAATGATCACAAATAAAAACTAAATGCGATGAAGAAAAAGAATCTGACAAAGTTTCAACATCTTTTCATGATAAAAACACAAAACAAACTAGGAATAAAAAGAAACCTTTGCAACATAATAAAAGGCATGTATGAAAAACCCACAACTAACATCATACAGTACTTAATGGTGAAAGACTGAATGCTTTTCCCTAAGATCATGAACAAGACAAGGTTATCTACTCTTGTCACTTCTATTCAACACTGTTCTGAAAATTCTAGTCAGGGCAATTAGAAGAGAAAAAGCAATAAAAAACACCTAGATTGGAAAGCAAGAAATAAAATTATCTTTAATCTTTATATTTGGAAGCTACGATCTTTCAAATGAAAAAAAAACCCAAGGAAATCTGCAAATCAAATATCTGATGTCAAGCTTTTTCAATTTAAAAAACCTGATAAGAGATTTGTATCTAAAATATATAAATAACTCCTACAAATCAGTAACAAAAATAAGTAACCCAATTTAAATATGGGCAAAAGATCTGAATAGACATTTCTCTAAAAAAAAGATACAATGCTAGGCACGGTAGCTCACGCCTGTAATCCCAGCACCTTGGGAGGCTGAGGTGGGCAGATCACCTGAGGTCAAGAGTTTGACACCAGCCTTGCCAACAAGATGAAACTAAAAATACAAAAAATTAGCCAGGCGTGGTGGCAAGCACCTGTAATTGCAGCTACTCGGGAGGCTGAGGCAGAAGAACTGCTTGAACCTGGGAGGTGGAGGTTGCAGTGAGCCGAGATGGTACCACTGCACGCCAGCTTCCATCTCAAAAAAAAAAAAAAAAAAAAAAAAAAAAGGTAATGACCAGTAAGCCCATGAAAAAATGCTCAGTATCATTAGCAATCAGGGAAATGCAAATCAAAACCACAACAAGACATTACTTTATACCAAGATGGCTACAATAAAAAAAAGACATAAAAACAGGCATTGGCAAGTATGGAAAAATTGGAACCCTTATACACTACCTGTGGGAATGTAAAATGGTACAGCTGCTCTGGAAAAATATAAAAGTTACCCAAAAGGTCAAACATAAGAAAGAATTATATAATCCAGCAATTCCATTCCTAGGAATATATGCAAGAGAAAAGAAAGCCTGTATGGGAACATTCATAGCAGCATCATTCATAATGGCCAAGAAGTGGAAACAACTGAAATATCCATCACTAATAAATGAATAAAATGTGGTACATATCCATACAATGGAATATTATTTGGCAATTAAAAATGAAGTGCTGTTACATGCTACAACATATATGAACTCTGAAAATATTATGCTAAGAAGCCCATCATAATCACATTATTTCATGACTCCATTTACTTGAAATGTTCAGAATAGGCAAATCCATAGACAGAAAGTAGATTGGTGGTTGCCTAGGGTTAGGGTGTTAGGAATAAATTAGGAACGACTGCTAACAGATGTGGGATTTCTTTTGGGAGTGGTGAAAACATTAACATTTGAAACACTCATTTCTGCTTTTCTTACATTTTAATATTCAAGATTACTCTTTTTCCTTTCACAACCAGACATCTCAAAACAGTAGACTATAGCTGATATCCTGATTTTCTTACTACTTATAAATTCCCATTGATTTAATTCCTGTTCCTCCATAATATACAAAAAGTCCTTTTCCCAAGGTCACCAGTTACTTCTTATAGTTATTCAATAATCTTTTGTTTTTCCCCTCCTCAATATCTTTTAATTTTTGACACTGTTGCTCATCACTTTTTTCTGAAACCTGTTTCTATGAATTCAGGAACATTACAAAGTCTTAAATCTGATTATCTTTCTTTAATTCCTTGGTTCTTCTTTATTCATTATGCCTCACAAATGCAGGTTCCCCAAGACTCTGGCCAAAACTCTCATTTTCTCACTCTACACTTTTTTTTCTTTTTCTTAGAGGCAGGGTCTTGCTCTGCCCAGGCTGCAGTGAGTGGTGTGATCATAGCTCACGGTAACTTTGAACTCCTGGGTTCAAGAGATCATCTCACCTCAGCCTCCTGCTAGGACTACAGGTGTGTGTCACCATGCCCAGCTAATTTTTTAATTTTTATTTTTGTAGAGACAATTTTGCTATGTTGCCCAAGCTGGTCTCAAACTCCTAGCCTCAAGTGATCTTCCTGCCTCAGTCTCCCAAAGTGCTGGGATTACAGGCATGAGTGACTGCACCTGGCTTCTCCCTCTACACTTTCTTCTTGAATTATCTTGTCTCATAGCTTCAACTATCACTTATCACTTTGTTGTTGATACTCTCGAAATACACATCTTCTGAATTCTAGTTTTAATTTTTCCACTGACTGTAGACCTTCTCCACCTAGTCATTATTAACTCTGTTTTGTTCCATTTCAAAACTCGTTTAATCTGGCATAGATTTTATTGTGGATTTTCCCTCTCCAAGTCTTCACTTGGCATTTGTATTAGTCTGTTCTCCCACTGCTATAAAGAACTGCCTGACACTGGGTAATTTATACAGGAAAGAGGCTTAATTGACTCACAGTTCTATAAGGCTGGGGTTGGCCTCAGGAAACTTACAATCATGGTGGAAGGGGAAAGAAAACATGTCCTTCTTCATGTAGAGGTAGGAAAGAGAAAGTGAGGGCCAAGCAAAGGGGGAATCCTCTTATAAGACCATCATCTTTTGTGAGAACTAACTCACTATCACAAGAACAGGATGGGGAAAACCACCCCCATGATTCAATTATCTCCACCTGGTCCTTCCCACAATACATAAGGATTACGGGAACTACAATTCAAGATGAGATTTTGGGTGGGGAAACAGCCCAACCATATCATTCTGCCCCTGGCCTTTCCTAAATCTTATATCCTCACATTTCAAAACACAATCATGTCTTTCCAACAGTCCCTCGAAGTCTTATTTCAGCATTAAATCAAAAGTCCACAGTCCAAAGTCTCATCTGACACAAGGCAAGTCCCTTCCACCTATGAGCCTGTAAAATCAAAAGCCAGTTAGTTACTTCCTAGATACAATGAAGGCACAAGCATTGGGTAAACATATCTGTTTCAAATGGGAGAAATTGGCCAAAACGAAGGGGCTACAGGCCCCATTCAAGTCCAAAATCCAACAGGATGGTCATTAAACCTTAAAGTTCCAAAATGATCTCCTTTGACTCCATGTCTCACATCCAGGGCATGCTGATACAAGAGGTGGGCTCCCACAGCCTTGGGCATTTCCATCCCTGTGGCTTTGCAGACTACAACTCCCCTCCTGGCTGCTGTCATGGGCTGCTGTTGAGTGTCTGCAGCTTTTCCCAGGCGTACAGTGCAAAATGTCAGTGGATCTATCATTTTGGGGTCTGGAGGATGGTGATCCTCTTCTCACAGCTCCACTAGGCAGTGCCCCGGTGGGGACTCTGTGTGGGAGCTCTGTGACCCCACATTTCCCCTCCACACTGCCCTAGCAGAGGTTCTCCATGAGGGCTCCACTCCTGCAGCACACTTCTGCCTGGACATCCAAGCCTTTCCATGTATCTTCTAAAATCTAGGCAGAGGTTCCCAAACCTCAATTCTTGACTTCTGCACATCTGCAGGCCCAACACCATGTGAAAGCTGCCAAGGTTTGGGGCTTGCACCCTCTGAAGCAACAGCCTGAGCTGTACGTTGGCCCCTCTTAGCCAGGGCTGGAATGGCTGTAACACAGGGCACCAAGTCCCAAGGCTGCACACAGCAGGGAGGCACTGGACCCAGCCCAAGAAAACATTTTTCCCTCCTAGTTCTCTGGGTCTGTGACTGGAGAGACTGCCACGAAAGTCTCTGACATGCCTTGGAGACACTTGCCCCATTGTCTTGATTAACATTCGACTCCTTGTTATTTATGCAAATGTCTGCAGCAGGCTCAAATTTCTCCCCAGAAAATGGGTTACTTTTTTTTCATCACATCATCAGGCTGCAAACTTTCCAAAATTTTATGCTCTGCTTCCTCTTGAACACTTTGCTTCTTAGAAATTTCTTCTGCCAGACACCCTAAATCATCTCTCTCAAGTACAAAGTTCCACAGGTCTCCAGGGCAGGGAAAAATACCACCAGTCTCTTTGCATAGCAAAAGTGACCTTTACTCCAGTTCCCAACAATCTGCCCATCTCCATCTGAGACCACTTTGGCCTGGAATTAATTGTCCATATCACAATCAGCATTTTGGTCAAAGCCATTCAACAAGTCTGTAGGAAGTCTGAAACTTTCCAACATTTTCCTGTCTTCTTCTGAGACCTCCAAACTGTTCCAACCTCTGCCTGTTACCCAGTTCCAAAGCTGCTTCCATATTTTTGGGTATCTTTACAGCAGTGCCCCACTCTCTTTGGTACCAATTTACTGTATTAGTTTGTTCTCACATTGCTATAAAGAACTTCCCAAAACTGGGTAATGTATAAAGGAAAGAGGTTTAGTTGACTCACAGTTTCGGAGAGCTGGGGAGGCCTCAAGAAACTTACAATTATGGCAGAAGGGGAAAGCAATTATGTCCTTCTTCACATGGTGGCAGGAGAGAGAAAATGACAGCCAAGCAAAGGGGGAAGCCCCTTATAAAAGGGGCTTGTGAGATCTCGTGAGAACTAACTCAATATCACCAGAACAGGATGGTGGAAACTGCCCCTGTGATTCAAATATCTCCACTTGGTCCCTCTCACGACAGGTGGGGATTATGAGAACTATAATTCAAGATGAGATTTTGGGTGGGGACACAGCCAAACCTTATCAGCATCCAAGGCCTTCTACATGGCACCCATCTAACTATCTTTTAAACACCACTCCATTGTGGCTCATGTCTATAATCCCAGCACTTTTGGAGGCTGAGGTGGGAGGATCACTTGAGCCCAGGAGTTCAAGTCCAGCCTGGGCACTGTGGTGAAACCCCATGTCTACAAAACAAAAACAAAAACAAAAATTCACTGGGCATGCTGGTGTGTACCTGTAGTCCCAGCTACTAGGGAGGTTGGGGTGAGAGGATAGCTTGAGCCCAGGAGGTTGAGGCTGCAGTGAGCCATGAAAATTTAACTGCACTCCAGACTGAGCAACAGAGTGAAACCCTGTTTCAAAAACCGTAACAACAAACACAGTCTAAGACACAAATCACTACATAAACACATACATATGTATCCTTTCTTTTAGTGCCATATCTATCTCTTTTAGTGATTGAGATAAGATTAAATAGAATACTGTACAGAGTTTAGAACATAATAGGCACTCAAAAAATATTAGCCAGGATCACGAGGTCAGGAGATCGAGACCATCCTGGCTAACATGGTGAAACCCCATCTCTACTAAAAACACAAAAAATTAGCCGGGCGTGGTGCCGGGCGCCTTTAGTCCCAGCTACTTGGGAGGCTGAGGCAGGAGAATGGCATGAACCCAAGAGGAGGAGCTTGCAGTGAGCCGAGATCACGCCACTGCACTCCAGCATGGGCGACAGAGCGAGACTCCGTCTCAAAAAAAAAGAAAAAAAAAAAAATTAGCCAGGTACCTGTGAAAAACAATCTTGTGTGGATGGTACCAATATTATCCACATTTTATGAATGAGGACACTAAAGTTTGGAAAGATTAACAAACATGCCCAAGGTTACATGGCTGTTAAGTAGCAGAAAGGAGATGTATTTGCATTGTATTGCATTGTATTGTATTGTATTGTATTGTATTTTTTGTACAGACAGGGTCTTGCTATGTTGCCTAGGCTGGTCTCGAACTCCTGGCCTCAAGCGACCCTCTCACTCTGACCTTGCAAAATGTTGGGATTAAAGGCATGAGTCACTGTACTCGGCATTAGAAAGGAGTTTTAAACCCAAGGTTGCCTAACTCCAAAGCTACTATTTTGCTTTGTTGTTAATGTTTAATTATATAACATTTTTAAGACAGAGAAAATAAACTGACACTCATTAAACGGGAATAAATGTTAATATTTACCTTCTTTTGCTTCAAATCTCTGTCTTTTAAATAAATAACCTGTTACAGATATAACCATCCTCCCTGTTCCTTCCCCTTTCTCTCCTAGATGTTTATGGATATACAGCATTATGATGAAATTACAGAAACATATACTGAAAAGATGACAATGAAAAATAAGACAATATCAGAATAGTGGTTTGCTCTGGAAAAAAATGTCAATGGGCCTGAGGTTTTCAATGGTTATCCATAATGTTTATTTCTTAAAAAAAGGAAAGAAACAAATACGACATTTGTTAAACCTAGGTGGTAGGTTTCTGATGTTTATATACTACCTTCTACACTTTTCTGTTTTTGCGCAGCTACATTATTTTTAAAGTACCAACATATAAATTAATGTTGATTCAAGTGTTAGTATAGAAGCTGATATTTTTAAATGACTACATCATTTTGACTTTAACAGCTTTTAGAAAGTATTATGAAGGTGAATCGTTGTTGATTGTAATTGTTGAAAGGACATGCAACCTAAAACAAAAAGTTAGCTAATATATAGTCTCACATATATTCATATGCATTCGTATATTCACACATTCATACATATATGATATAAACTTAAAACACTTGATCTTATTGGGGATTTCAAATTCCACAAAATAATTTCAATGAAAAGTAAGTCTCTAAAACATTCATTCCTTTCTTAAAAGAATTAAGAATATGTATGAAATATCACTTAAAATAATTATAAAAATTAAATGTACTTTTTAATTTAATTAGGCTGGATTTCCTCCTTTTAGCTCAAATTCCTATGTAGATTTAAGTATTAAAGTCTGATTAGTGAAGTGTTTTTCTAAAACTCAGAAATATGGAAAAAAATTGGCTCATCTATAACACAAACCTGTAACTCAAACATACTATTGAAATAACAAAAATTGCATTCAAGATACTTTTGTATCAAATGACCCAGATCAAGAGTCCTTATCATACTCTTTTTCCAGATAGTGTCAATTTTCATGAAGTATCTTCAAAAGACTATCCTCTGAAGGTAAAATAAATTGGACTAACCAATGAAGAATAAAATCATTAAGTAAAAAATACATCCTGGGCTGGGCAACATAGTAAGACCCCCATCTCCACAAATTTTTTAAAAAAATCAGCTGGATGTGGTGGCATATGCCTGTGGTCCCAACTACTTGGGAGGTTGGGATGAGAAGATCACTTGAGCCTGGAAGATCAAGGCTGCAGTGATCCATGATTAAGCCACTGCATTCCAGCCTGGGTGATAGGGTAAGACCCTGTCTCAAAAATAAAAATAAAAATAAAGCCTTAAAAATCCACCAATTGTTCTGCAGTAAAAGCAAATACTATGACATAATGACCAGAAAACTGCCATGAGTGTGTGCATGCTTAATTAATCATGCATAGTAAAAATATACGAGATGGAGTTTTGCTCTGTTGCCCAGGCTGGAGTGCAGCGGTGCACTCTCGGCTCACTGCAACCTCTGTCTCCCAGGTTCAAGTGATTCTCCTGCCTCAGCCTCCCGATAGCTGGGATTACAGGCATGCACCACCATGCCTGGCTAAGTTTTGTACTTTTAATGGAGCTGGGGTTTCACCATGTTGGCCAGGCTGGTCTCAAACTCTTGACCCTAGGTGATTCGCCCAGCTCGGCCTCCCAAAGTGCTGAGATTACAGGTGTGAGCCACCGCATCCAGCCCTGTTTTATCATTTTTAATCAGAGATACTCATCCCTCAGTAACATTTTGAGGATTATTACTATCAACTAAATAAATTAAACAGTGCTTTAGATGTTAACTCATTCAATATCATGTTGAGACATTAAACTTGTGTTACATATAGAAAACATGTTAAAAAAGCACTTTGATTTGCCTATATGAAGCTCTCAAAAGTATATCCAAGCTACTCCAAAAAAAATTTAGTTTACACAGAAACTTAAAAATAATTCTCTTAGTTTTAACCTTTTCTGACATTTATATTGGTCTGCTCATTCCTATATGTAAGTTTCATATAAGCACTCTAATTTTTGCTTAAGTATATTACTTAAGCAAATTACTTAAATTACTTAAATTACTGTACCATAGTAATTGCGGTTCCTCAAAAAACTTTACATGACAAGTTTCACTTATTCTCACCTTCAATCAAAAGTTAAAATTCAAAAAAAGAAACAAAAAATTGTGGCTCTCGGCCAGGTGCAGTGGCTCCCATCTATAATCCCAGCACTATAGGAGGCCAAGGCCCGCAGATCACCTGAGGTCGGGAGTTCAAGACCAGCCTGACCAACATGGAGAAACGCCATGTCTACTAAAAATACAAAAATTAGCCAGGCGTGGTGGCACATGCCTGTAATCCCAGCTACTCGGGAGGCTGAGGCAGGAGAATAGCTTGAACCCGGAAGGCAGAGGTTGTGGTAAGCTGAGATCGGACCATTGCACTCCAGTCTGGGCAACAACAGCGAAACTCTGTCTCAAAAAAAAAAAAAAAAATCGTGTCTCTCATACTTATTAGAGATGCCTGTTTCAGGCTGGGCGAGGTGGCTCACGCCTGTAATTCAATCACTTTGGGAGGCTGAGGCAGGCGGATCACGAGGTCAGGAGATTGAGACCAACCTGGCTAACACGGTGAAACCCCGTCTCCATTAAAAATACAAAAAATTAGCCGGGCGTGGTGGCGGGCGCCTGTAGTCCCAGCTAATACTGGGGAGGCTGAGGCAGAAGAATGGCGTGAACCTGGGAGGCAGAGCTTGCAGTGGGCCGAGATCGCGCCACTGCACTCCAGCCTGGGCGACAGAGCGAGACTGTATCAAAAAAAAATAATAAATTTAAAAAAATAAAAAAAGAGATGTCTGTTTCAATAACCATACCACTAATAGAGATCAGAGTGGTGCTGATATGCACTTAAGAAATCCACAGTGCTGAAAATTAAATATATTCCTTCTCTACATTTCAATAAGTCTCTTCTTAAAAAGTACTGTCTCTATAATTCCCCTAAATACATCACTAAAAGTTTCAAAATATTTATAATCCTTGTCATATTTCTCTCCCCTGAAGATAAAATAAATTTAAGGAGATCCTTAGCATCGAACTTGCTGTCCTCAAATTATGCAAATCCTTTCCATTTACCCCAGTTTTAACCAACATTTTCCCAGAAGGAAAAACTAAATTGGGAAAGCACATTAAAACAAAGGTAAGGCCGGGGGCGGTGGCTCATGTCTGTAATCTCAGCACTTTGGGAGGCCGAGGAAGGTGGATCACCTGAGGTCAGCAGTTCGAGGCCAGCCTGGCTAACATGGTGAAACCCCAGCTCCACTAAAAATACGAAAATTAGCTGGGCGTGGTGGTGGGCAACTGTAATCCCAGCTACTCGGGAGGCTGAGGCTGAGGTGGAGGTTGCAGTGAGCCGAGATGGCACCATTGCACTCCAGCCTGGGTGACAGAGCAAGACTCAGTCTCAAAAAAAAAAAAAAAAGAAGGTAAGGTAACAATTCAAGAACTTCCTAGAGAAACTCATAATGACCACTGCTCTTCAAAGGGCACTGTGCTGATGAGAAAATATATAAAAATCTGTATGCCATGCTTAATTACTATTTTTTTTTTTTTTGAGATGAAGTCTCACTCCGTCGCCCAGGGTAGGGTACAGTGGTGTCATCTCGGCTCACTGCAACCTCTGCCTCCCAGGTTCAAGTGATTTTCCTGCCTCAGCCTCCCGAGCAGCTGGGATTACAGGTGCGTGCCACCACACCAGGCTAATTTTTGTATTTTTAGTAGAGATGGGGTTTCACCATGTTGGCCAGGCTGGTCTTGAATTCCTGACCTCAGGTGATCTGCCTGCCTTGGCCTCCCAAAGTGCTGGGGTTACAGGCTTGAGCCACTGTGCCTGGCTGCTTAATTATTAATTTTTTAAATGACAAAACAGTATGACTGGGTACAAGATACATTATTTATAATAGGCTTCAAAAAATAAACTGCAAATAATTCATTTTAATGTAATTTGACAAATACTTATTGATCCCCCTTTAAGATGATGCAGAGGGACATAAATATGTATAAGACAGGAGGTTAACAATTAATAAACATGGCTCCAACAATTTTAAATAGTGTTTTTAATTCTCATATAGTGATCAAAACTGATATTTTAAGAGAGCTGATATTTTAAGTGAAAATGATAAAAAAAAATTAACTGCTGGTTCTAACAACTGGGAAAACTTGAATTTGGATTAGGTTTTAGATGATATAGAATTAGCAGTTACCTTAGGTGTGATACTAGTTGTATAGAAGAATGTCATTCTTGGGAGATGTCTAATAAAATAGTTAGAGGTAAAGTCTCATGATAACTGCAATTTACTTTTAAAGCCAAAACCAAAATCTATCCTATATACACAAATAAAGCAAATACGGCAAAATCTTAACTATTGACTCTAAGTGATTCACATATATGTATTCATAAGACAATTTCGTTTTTAATTTTTTTTTTAGAAACAGGGTCTCGCTATGTTGCCCAGGCTAGAATGCAGTGGTTATTCATAAGCAGGATCATAGCACACTACAGCCTCAAAGTCCTAGCCTCAACAATCCTCTGAACTCAGCTTCTCAAGTAACTGGGACTACAGGTGTGCGCCAGTATGCCTGGCCCAATTTCAATTTAAAGTCCAGAATCCCAAGTACATATATAGCTTTGCTTTGAAGAAAACTTTAAAACTATAGTCATCCATAAATTCTTAAAAGTATTTAATAAGGCCAGGTGAGGTGGCTCATGTTTGTAATCCCAGCACTTTGGGAGGCCAAGGCAGGACGATTACTTGAGCCCAGGAGTTCAAGATAAGCCTGGGCAAGGCAGTGAGAGTCTCATCTCTACAACGAATAAAAAAATTATTAGCCAGGCATGCCACCACGCCCAGCTAACTGGGAGATCCCAGCTACATGGGAGGCTGAGGCAGGAAGATCACTTTAGCACGGAAGATCACTTGAACCCAGGAGGTCAAGGGTACAGTGAGCCATGTTTGCGCCACTACACTCCAGCCTGGGTGACAGAGCAAGACCTTGTCTCAAAAAAAAAAAAAAAAAAAAAAAGAAACCAACAAAAACAAGAAGTATTTAATAAACCAAAATTACTTGAATTGACAGAAGATATGGAGCCCAAAGTAGAGGTTGATTTCCATAGAGAGAAAATCATGATTCTGGTCACAGACAAACTATCCACATCTCTCACCAACTAACTTCACAAATCTGTGTCACTGTTCATGAAGAAAACACCGGCTTTTACATTTGACAAGATGTGTTCCTTCCCTGGGCTTCACAATTTAGAGGGTCTGGTTCTTTTGCCATAGTCCTCCTGGGGTCAAAAGGATATATCACCCTTCCCATCTTATGGAACATGCTCCAGGTCCCTGACACTCTGAAATTCTCTGCCCCAACAGTCTCATACCCACTTGCAGAACCTGCCTGAGCCTATTCCCTATGTGTGTTCTCTCAAGGATGAACTTTACTGCCAGTATGTGCATGCTTAGGCCAAAGAGATGGGGAGAAAAAGATGGCACTTACATACATAGCCTGAGAAGTTCATGTGTATTCATGAGGCCTCTTGGGGTTTAGGATGGAACCAGGATTGGAAAGACAAGTAGAATAGAGTAGAATAGCCTGCTTCTGCCAGATTCTGGATGTAGAACTCCAGAGAGTCCAAGAATGCTAAATTCAAATCAGTGCTTCCATTTATCAAGGATGAAGGAAAGAACATAGTTTACTGGCTTGATTTTGAACTTTCAAATATTTAGGCACACGGTAATGAGAGCTTTCATTTGTACTCTTTCCTTGAAACCAACAAAAATTAGGAGTAAGACTGCATAAAAATGGATTAAGAAATAGTTATGTAATAACAAGAGCAATAGAAAAGAAAATAGGATTAGGAAACCTCTTTGGATTATGCCACTAAAAGGCTATGTAGACTCTATCTGGGCCTCAGTTTCTCCAACTGAAAAATTAAAAATTATTAAATGATTAAGGCTCCTTCTAGTACTAAATTTAAAAGCCTTAATGTAAGGAATCATCATTAATTAAAAAATACTGGATCAAATCATGTCTTTTTCGTTTTTTTCCCTTTCAGATCCAGACGTACAAACAAATCATTACTTTTAAAATATTTTCCTAATACCTACTTTTCTCAAATCTGGGTTCATGCCTTAAGTCTGTGACTTAGAAGCTATAGTACCTAGAACCTAGTTTCTTCATGTATATATTAAGGTGTCGGCCAGGCGCAGTGGCTCACACCTGTAATCCTAGCACTTTAGGAGGCCAAAGCAGGCAGATCACTTGAGGTCAGGAGTTTGAGACCAGCCTAGACAACATGGTGAAATCCTATCTCTATGAAAAACACAAAAATTAGCCAGGCATGGTGGCATGTGCCTGTAATCCCAGCTACCTGGGAGGCTGAGGCAGGAGAATCACTGGAACCTGGGAGGCGGAGGCTGCATTGAGCCGAGATGGCGCCTCTGCACTCCAGCCTGGGCGACAAAGTGAGACTCTGTCTCAAAAAATATATATATAAAATTAAATAAATAAAGATGTCACCACTAACATCATTGGATTGTTGTGAGGATAAAATGTGATCACATAAAAAGTACTCAGTACAATGCCTGGCACAAAGCACCAGGATGGGGCTTACTAAATAACTGCTGAATGAATGACAATTTTGCTTCTTTCAAAAATTGCTCAGTTTATTTAAATTGTTCAAATATGCATTATTGGGAAATCTGGAACTATAAATTTCAAGTAACCCAACTCTAAATCACTTCACTCTATACCACTAAATAATTCCTAGCATAAGCAGAAGTGAGAAGAAACTGAGCAGAAAAGAAAGGTACTCAAATAGGCTTTTCATAATGTGAGGTCATGAGGTCATAAAGTCATAAATCAGTCCCTTGTTAATTTTTTGTTAAAGCAGCATCTTCTAATTGACCTTTATGGCTTGTTGTTGGCAGAATAATGGCCTGATTATTCAATGTATCAATCTCCTAATCCTCAAAACCTGTGAATATTTTAGGTAATATGGCAAATAATTCAAGTTGCAGATTGAATTAAGGTTGTTCATCAGCTGAGCTGGGAAATTATCCTAAATTATCCATGTAGGCCCGATGTAATCACTAGGGTCCTTATAAGTGGAAGACGGAGGAAAAACAAAAACAAAACAAAACAAAAACATTAGGGTGATACAACGTGAGAAAGACTTGACCAGCCATTGCTGGATTTAAAGACGGAATGGTGCCACAAGCCACAGAATGTGGGCAGCCTTTATAAACTGGCCAAGAAAATTGATCATCCCCTAGAGCTTCTAGAAAGGACTGCAACCCTATTGACATCTTGATTTTAGTCCAGTGAGATCCAGTTCAGACTTCTGATCTCCAGAACTGTAAGATAATAAATATGTGTTGTTCTAAGACACCTAAGTTTGTGATAACTTATTACAACAGCAGGAGAAACTGATACATGGTTGTAGGTTCCTTCCAGCTTCAATATCCCCATATTCTAAGGCGACAGACAGTAGTATGGGCCCCAGAGTCCTGCCTCCTATCTTTGAATCCTTGCTTTGCCACTATCTGTATGACTCTGAGCAAGCCATTTAACCATCCTATGCTTCATGTCCTTATCTGTAAAAACAGTAGATGATAAGATCTAACTCAGAGATATTGTGAAGATTAAATGAGAAAATATATGTAAAGCCATGAACTTGAGTATAATTGCTCAAAAGCAGTTACAGCTTTGTATAAATCTTCAAAGGAAAACTTGTCAGTTCATATCAAAGCTTTGAAAATGTATATTTGCCTTATTTTCCAGGAATCTAATCATGGTTATACACAACAATGTATCTATAAAGATGCTTATCATACTGTCAAAGAAGAATAAACAATTATGACAATTCCATATTATGAAACATTATGCAGTCATTAAAATGATGTATGTCTTCCGATTAGGGCCAAGATGGAGTAATAGGGACCAGATTTATTCTCATGCTTGAAACAACTGAAAAACAAGGCAAAATATATGAAACAATAGTTTTTAGATATTGTACATCAGGCAGCCCAGGACAGCAATCCCTAAGAGAAAGGAGACAAGACAACTAAGACCTACTATTGCCCCAGCTTACTGCAAACTGCAGAATAGAACAGGGAGTGCAGGTAAAATCTGGCAGGCTCCCTGAGTTGGAGATAGAACTTGAAGCCAAGAACCCAAGGTAACTGGTTTATATGGCAAAGTTCCAGAAAGGAGAGAGTTCCACAGAGAAAGACCTCCAGAGATCTTCAGAGGGTGCCCTTTAAAGGTTCTAGATGAGTAGTGATCAGCAATTGTCCGTGAAAAGATTACCCAAAACCCAGAAAAAAATCAGCATGTTCCCATTAGCCACAGTAAAAAACTTTAACTGTCATCCGGTAGAGGACTCACAAGGCGATTGTGTCAGTAGGGGAGTAAAATTAGCCCTATACAAAAGATTGCGCTGGTCCGGGCTAAAAAAGCTTAAAAGTGTATTTCAAAAGGACAAAATGATTTCCAAGTACTTAACTGCATCCCAGAACAAAACTTAAGAATATTTAGAGGAATACAAAATTTCCCATTACTCAAGAAGGTGAAATTCACATCTGGCATTTATTCAAACATTATCAGGTATGCAAAGGAGTTCAAAACAAGCCCGGGCAACAAAGTAAGACTGCATCTCTAGAAAAAATAAAATGAAATTTCTGGGCATGGTGGCACGTGCCTGTGGTCCCAACTACTTGGGAGGCTGAGGTGGGAGAACTGCTTGAGCCCAGGACATTGAAGCTGCACAGAGCCATGATCGCGCCACTGCACTCCAGCCTGGGTGACAGAGTGAGGCTCTGTCTTAAAAATTAATTAATTAATACATAAATAGGTTAAAAGTACAAGGGCAGAAAAAGATATACCATGTTAATATAAACACAAAACAGAAATGATTACATTAGTATCAGACAAAGTAGGTAACAGAGCAAAGAATACATGCAAAGCCACTAATAGAAGCCATAGAAACAAGTCTAAATAAATGTAAACAAATGTAAAACATGTAAAAGAAACAAGTCTAAATAAATGTAAACAAATTTAAAACATACAAATTATGTACTCTGATTACAATGGAATTAAATTAGAAAGGTCTCTAGAAAGCAAATATAATTAAATAACACATTTCCTTCCTTTTTGGTTTTTGAGACAGGGTTTCACTCCATCAACCAGGCTGGACTGCAGTCTGTAGTGGCACGATCTTGGTTCACTGCAGCCTCAACATCCTGGGCTCAAGTGATCCTCTCACCTCAGCCACCTGAGGAGCTGGGACTACAGGTGCATGCCACCAAACCCAGCTAATTTTTGTATTTTTTTGTAGAGAGTGGGTTTTGCCATGTTGCCGAGGCTAAATAACACATTTCAAAATAATCCATGGGCCAAAGAAGAAATTAAAGGGGGAATTCAAAACTTAAAACAGAATTCAAAATTATCTTGAATAACTGAATAAAAATGAAACATAATACAAATCTGTGAGATGCAGTTAAAACAACACTTAATGGGAAATGTATAGCATCAAATGCCTATAATAGAATAAGAAGAAAGATCTTAATGATGTTTGTTAGCTTCCACATTAAAAAAAATAACAAATTTGGCTGGGCACGGTGGCTCACACCTGTAATCCCAGCACTTTGGGAGGCTGAGGCGGGTGAATCATGAGGTCAGGAGATCGAGACCATCCTGGCTAACACGGTGAAACCCCATCTCTACTAAAAATACAAAAAATTAGGTGGGCATGGTGGCGGGCACCCGTAGTCCCAGCTACTCTGGAGGCTGAGGCAGGAGAATGGTGTGAATCCGGGAGGCAGAGCTTGCAGTGAGCTGAGATCGCGCCACTGCACTCCAGCCTGAGCAACAGAGCGAGACTCCGTCTTAAAAAAAAAAAATAAAATTAGGTAAATTAAGTACAAAGCAAAAGAAAGAAATAATGAAGATAGCATAAATCCGTTAACTATAAAGCAGAAAAATGAGAAAACCCAATGAAATTCCATAAAACTGGTAAACCTATAGCCATACTTATTAGGAAGAAAAGGAGACACTAATTACCATTATCAGAAATGTACATAATTAATTGTATAGATACTCAAAGGCTGGAAATGTTATGAAAAACATTATACTGATAAATTTAACAGCTTGAATGAAATGGGAAAAATACCTTGAAAAGCATGAACTACCAAAAACTCACTCAAAAAGACACAGATAACCTAAGGAGACCTACACCTATTAAAGAAATTAAATTTATAATTAAAAATATTCCCATCTAGAAAATTTCTGAATAGCTTCAATGGTGAACTGTACCAACATTTAAGAAAAACACAGAACTTCTACATGAAAACATAAGAGAAAATCTTCACTGACCTTGGGCAGGCATAGATTTCTTAAACATGAAACAAAACACAATTTTATTTTCAAAAAGAAGTAATGAACTAGACTTCATCAACTTTAACAACTTTTGCCCTTCAAAACATGCTGTTAAGAAAAAAAAAGGCAACCCACAGACTGGGAGAAAATATATCTGCAAAATAGATATCTGACAACTAGAATATTACAACACAATAACAAATCAAACAACCCAATTTTGTAAGTGGGCAAAAATTTCAGGGACTTCACCAAAGGATATATATGGATAGAAATAAGCACATGAAAAAAATGTTCAATATCATGAATCATTAAGGAAATACAAATTAAAACCACAATCAGATACCACTATCTTCACCTATCAGTATGGCTAAAATTAAAAACAGTGACCATATCAGATCAAGCACTGACAACGATGTGGAGCGAACGGAACTCTTAGACACTGTTAGAGGAAATGTAAAATGGTACAATCTCTTTAGAAAAATATTTTCCTAGTTTCGTAAAAAGTTAAATATATACCTATTAAAAACCCAGCCATTGCCAGGTATTTACCCAATGGAAATAAAAATGTATGTCTTCACAAGACTACATAAAAATGTTCATAGTGTCTTCATTGATAATAACCCCAAACGGGAAATCATATACATCATCAGGTGAACGAACAAATTATAGTAGATCCATATAATGAAATATTATTTTAACAATAAAAGGGAATGAATTATTTTACTTGCAATGACTGGGTGAACCTCAAAATAATTGTGTTGAGTAAAAGAAGCTATACAAACTGTACATACTATTGAATCCATTTATATATAAATTCCAGAAAATGGACATAGAGTGACAGAAATCAGATCAGTGGTTGTCTGGGTGCGCGAAGGAGGAGATGGAAGGAAGAATTACAAAGAGGCAATAGGGAACTTTTGGGGGTAATGAGTATGTTCTGTATTTTCACTGTGATATTAATTTCACTGGTATATACATATGTCAAAATTTACCCAATTCTATACTTTAAATATGTTCTGTTTATTATATGTCCATTTTATCTCCATAAAGCTGAAAATTTGATATAGAAAACAAATAGGTAAATGGTTATAGAGTACAAAACTAAAAGCATATATCCCCAAAACATAAAAAGTGATTATTTCTAATTGGTGGGATGAGGGGGTACTTTCCTGCTGTGTGTGTGTGTGTGTGTGTGTGTGTGTGTGTGTGTGTGTCTGTGTGTGTGTGTGTGTGTGTGTGTGTGTGGTTTTGTTTGTTTTGAGATAGGGTCTCCCTCTGTCACCTGCAACCCCTGTCTCCTGGGCTCAAGTAATCCTCCAACTCAGCCTCCTGAGCAGCTGGGACTACAGGTGCGTATCACCACACTTGGCTACATTTTTTGGTAGTTTTTGTAGAGACGGGGTTTTGCCATTTTGCTCAGGCTGGTCTCAAACGCCTCAGCTCAAGTGATCACCTGCCTCGGCCTCCCAAAGTGTTAGTATTATAAACATGAGCCACAGCGTCTGGTCCTTTTGGGCTTTCTAAACTGTTTCCTGAATACTTTCAGTGGACATGTATTACTTTTCTAGTTGTCATATGTCTATCTCTTTTCATACACTAGGCAGTCAATAGAAACTTCAACTAAATTGTTTTTATTTTTATTTTATTTTACTTTTTTGAGACGGAGTCTCGCTCTGTTGCCCAGGCTGGAGTGCAGTGGCGTGATCTCGGATCACTGCAAGCTCTGCCTCCCAGGTTCACACCATTCTCCTGCCTCAGCCTCCCGAGCAGCTGGGACTACAGGCGCCCGCCACCATGCCTGGCTAATTTTTTTGTATTTTTTAGTGGAGACGGGGTTTCACTGTGTTAGCCAGGATAGTAGGATAGTCTCGATCTCCTGACCTCATGATCCACCCACCTTGGCCTCCCAAAGTGCTAGGATTACAGGTGTGAGCCACCGCACCTGGCCTAAATTGTTTTTATTAATAGATTTAAAATATGCCAATCCTAAAAGGAGAAACACAAAAGCATAACTGATATTTTAGTATCTATCAACAATTATTATATATATTATCTGTGTCTATACTGCTGCTTTAATACACATTATTTTAGAGGTTCATGCATTGGGACTACCTTTTGTTATGCATATTTGTTATATGGGCCTTACTTCCTTCCTGAGTTGCAAGAAAAGCAGAATGCCTAACATAGTGTATTATTTATGATAAGTGTTCAAAAAACTTTCTGAATTCATCTATAATATCCTATTGACAAAGCTGTCTTAGAATATCAGTGCTTAGCAGTTATGTTCTCAAAAATTTGTGTCCAACCTAAAAAAACACAAATCCCTTCGCTCAATATCAGTTTAACTTAAATAAAATACTAAGTAAGGGCCTAAACAAAATCAGAGATGTTGACAAAGCACTTGTGAAATTCAATCAGAATTTCTGGAATTTGTTCATATAACCACAAGCTTCCAACACACACACACACACACACACACACACACACACACACACACGAAATTACAAAATACTAGTACTGCACGATGCATTTTACAAGGTCAATCAAAAAGCAAATGAGCTCCTTGAAGAAATGGCTCATTCCAGGTCTAAGGCAGGGTAATTACAAAGTTCTTGCACCAGAAGTACTTAAAGATTAATGAGCATCTGTTAAAATAGCACAGAGTTGGCTTGACAGGGCTTCCTCTGGCCAAATATTCAAAAAGAATAATGATGGCAATCGGTTACGACATTGATTTTTAACACATTAATTTTTATAACACATTTTTTATAAACACATTTTTATAACATATTATAGTACAATGATTTTTAACACACTGATTTTTACAACTGATTTTTTAAAAAATCCATGAATCTAACTCTTTTATATAAAAATCCCCGTGATTAATTACAAAGGTGAAAAGATACCTATACTGAGAAAATCAAGCATCACCAATAATGGGACAAACTAATATCATGTGTCTTAATGTGATCCAATAGCTATCATATATACAGCATTCTCACCAAAAAAAAACAAACAAAAAAAAACAAAAAAAAACTGCTTAACCTGAATTATGAATAACCAAACAAATACAGGTAACTGGCTTGTACCTGTATTTTAAAAAAATGTCATGTTAGGATGGAACAACAGAAAGGACAGGGAACACTTGTATTAGGTTAAAGGAGGTTAAAGAGACATAACAACTAAATGTAATGCCTGACCCTTGATTGGATCCTGAAATTTAAACCAGATATCTCTCTAAAGAATATTATTGGGACAAGTTAAAAATTTTGAATTTGGACTATATAGTATATAATGTTATTTTATGTTATATTTCTTGGTTGTGGTAAAAGTCTTATATTCATGGAGGTGAATGTTCCCATTCTAAAGGGAGTCATGTTAAAATATTTAGGGGCAACATCTCCATGATGTCTACAACTTACTGTCAAATGGTTCAGCCAAAGAAAAATTAGAAATAAAAATAGTAAGAGAAAGCAAATGTGGCAAAATAATTAACAATTAGTGAATATATGTAAAGGGTACTATTCTTTCACCTTTCTGATAAGTTGAAATTTTTTCAAAATAAAAGATTAGAAAAAATGAGACTTTCAATACAGATATTTTAAAGAAATTCATAATATTGACATTTCTGATATTGTTTAAGCTGACTTGGAGCTACCTTTTTTCTTGTAACATAACAAAAACACCAGTTGAGATCTAGCCTTAAAGTCCTCTTTAGCCAGAAGCCATGGCTCATGCTTGTAATTCCAGTGCTTTGGGAGGTCAAGGTGGGAGGGCTGCTTGAGGCCAGGAGTTCAAGACTGTCCTGGGCAACATAGTGAGATCCATCTCTACAAAAAAGTTTTATTTCATTTATTTATATGTTTTGAGACAGGGTCTCATCTGTCACCCAGGCTGGAGTGCAGGGCATGATATCAGATCACTGTGGCTTTGACCTCCTATGCTCAAGCGATCCTCCCACCTCAGCCTCCCGAGTAACTGGGACTACAGGCATGCACCACAACGCCCAGTTAATTTTGTATTTTTAGTAGAGACAGGGTTTCACCAAGAAGCTCAGGCTGGTTTCAAAACTCTTGAGCTCAAGTGACCTGTCCACTTCAGCCTCCCAAAGTGCTGGTGCTCCCAAAGCACCATGCCTGGTGACTCACAGCTATAATTTAAAAATTTTAAAATTCGCCAGGCGTGGTGGCCCACGCCTGCAGTTCTACCTACTCAGGAGGCTGAGGTGGGAAGATCTCTTGAACCCAGGAGTTCAAGGCTACAGTGTGCTGTGATTGCACCATTGTACTCCAGCCTGGGTAACACAGCCAGACCCTGTCTGCCCCTCCACTCCCAAAAATAGTCTCTTTATACTTGTACTTTTAAGTACTTAGCACAATACCTGATAGGTTGGTGCAAAATAATTGCAATTTTTGCCACTGAAAGTTTTGCACCAACCTAATACACAATAGGTGCTCTATGAACTTTTGTTATTTTTTTGCTGTGAGTAAAAGGCAGTTAGGTACCATAGAATGCATAATAAATTTAGAGCCAAGTTTCTACTAAACCATTAGTAGCTATCTACATTAGAGGTTACTTTCCCTCTCAACACCTCAAATCTGTAAATTCCATGAAATAATACCAACTTTTATATTAATATATCTATATATATTCCAATGTACTACTAAAAAACTCAAATAATGTGGGTAAAACCACTTTTAAAAATATTGTGCAGGCTGGATGTGGTGGCTCATGCCTGTAATCTCAGCACTTTGGGAGGCCAAAGCAGGTGGATCCCCTGAGGTCAGGAGTTCAAGACCAGCCTGACCAACAAGGTGAAAACCCCATCTCTATTAAAAATACAAAAATTAGCTGGGCATGATGGCAGGCGCCTGTAGTTCCAGCTACTTGGGAGGCTGAGACAGGAGAATTGTTCGAACCCGGGAGGCGGAGGTTGCAATGAGCTGAGATCGTGCCACTGCACTCCAGCCTAGGAGACGGAGCAAGACTCCGTCTCAAAAAAATAAATAAATAAATAAATAAATAAAGCAAATGTTATTACTATTTCTAATTCTAATTATACTCAATGTTTCCTATATTATTTTTAAAAATTACTTCCAAAATCTTACTTTCACTTAATGTAATTAGGGGGAAAAATCCTAGGAAATTTATCCTACAATACAATCTTCTAAGAATATCTGTCTAAGTGACCAATAACCCTTTTTTTAACAAAAATCTCATAAAAGTTGAATCCCATAGCACATTTTTGTAAGAGTTTTGCGATAATTTGTAATAAATATAGGTAGAATAGAAACTAAAAAGAGAATGGTCCACTTTCTTGGCACTGTCATTTACAAAAGCAATTGGACCTTAGATAGCTATATATGATATGTATATATGATATACACTATATTATGTATATAATATGTATTTGAAGAATCAAATAATTACAGATTGTCAAATGCCATGAAACAAAGAGCTAAGCTAGAAACTTAGAGGAACACCTTCTTTAAGTAGAATGAAAATTAATTTTTTGTTTGTAAATTACTCATTACAAATCACTAAGCTAGAGGGCTAAGAGAAAGTGCTAGAAACCACTGTCAACTGGAAATGAATCAGAAATGAAAAGAGAACATCTCTGAAATTATAATATAGAACAATAGGAAAGTAGGACAATTTTCTCTTAATCATCTCTGCAACCTCAGTGCCTGGCATAATTTCTTACATATGGCAGACATCTAATAAATACTGAACAAATAGAAGAGCTAAAAAGTCAACATTTCTAAAACACAGATGTTATTTAAAATTCATTCACATGTATATACAATTTATACCTACATTTGACAAGGTACAGTAAAGTTACATTTTTAAACACTAAACACAGAGATAAAAAATTTAGACATTAAAATTGACACATACAAAACTAAAAAGTATTTCTCAATAATCAAAGACAACCAGGTACAATTGTATTTTATAATATGGCCTATTAAATATGTATCTGTCCATAGTGTGGGTACTGCTGTCACTTCTGATCACCTTTGAACACTACACAGTTTGATCTATGAAAGGAACATGCTAACTAGTTATGTGACAGCAAGCAAGTCATGATCTTTCTAACCCTGTTTATTCTTTGCATATGAGGATAGAGTGAAACCATGTTCAGGTCAAAAATTCTATGAACCCATGAAATGGTCAATGTAAACCTGTACTGTTTTCAGGCATACAAACACATACTTATGTAGGAAAAACAGCTCTCAAAGATTATCCTCTTTCCATAATTTGTAAAGTATTCCTTACATAGTAAATGTGCAAAGTATTTGCATAGTTGACCAAAGCAAATGATCAGATTTTATTTAACAAGAAACTGCAGTCCATGCTTCCTAACTATATCCACACCATATTGTATTAAAACATTTCCTTAATTTAAAATCATTTCAGTCCAATTGCCCAAATAGAGAAACCTTGTCATTCATACTTAAGTATTTCAAAACAGCTTTGTATTAATGTTACAATCATAGGAATAAATTTGATGACTCTGTAGGTCCTAACAAATTATCTTATATTTCATGTATCAATAATGATAAATAAGTGACTGAGTAGTCCTAAGGTATCTGGGAATGTACCTCCTAAATACAATTAAATACAACAAAATTTTCTGAGACCTATTTTGAAGTTTGGCTTCAGTCTTTCTTCATATACTGCACTAATCCACAAATTTCTCACCAATAGCTGGGTTTTCCACACTCCTGGAATTTACTTTCTGTTCACCTCTTACCCTTAAGTATGCATGCTAGAGGTCAATAGCCTTAAAGCTAATGTTAACAACAGGAATGTCTGTTACTCTGATTCCTGACAGGCAGTACAAAGCTTAACTCTTCTACAATATACTACATAGTTTAATAACTAGGATGTATTTCAGAACTAGCTAATATTCTATAATTTCCCAGTTAAAATAGAACATTTTAATACAGAAGATCTGACAGAAATAACAAAACCAAGAAGTAGTCCACTTTAAGTGAAAAAACAACTGAAAGAAATTCCTAGACAGAATTTCTATTTTATGCTTTGGCTTAGTCAGACAATTAGGAATTCTGAAACTTTTATAAGTAATACCATGCCAAATGCATAAAGATTTAAACAAATTCTGAAAAATAGAGGGATGGTACCTTATAAAAGTTTTAATCATTCAAGGAGACAATCTAAATATTTTATAAGTCATTTTTCTTCTTTTTGCTTAGGGCAAAAGTAGAGTGACAAGTGTTTTAATTGTGCGTACATCTGATGCTTTTTTGACTTAGGAAAAGGTACCATTTTTTAAAATAGTATGCTATAACTAAAGTACCTTAGGAAAAAAAACAGCAAATAGCTTGGGTGTGAGCATTGCTTTAGTTTTATATAGGTTTTCCTCTCTTTTATAATAACTAATATATATAAAATTAACTCTTTCTGCTTAAGATGATTTTCAAATATCTAATGTATTTCAATCGAATACATTAAGTTAGGGTAATTCCTGGAGGTATTAAGAATAACTGTCAAAAATGTAAACATATGAGACCTCCCTTTAAAATTATTTTCATCTTGTTCTAACAGAGCATTCTACCACCACCACCATTACCTTCTGGGGTGGGGGAAATGAAAAGATCCATGTAATTAAAGTTTTTGAGTCTTGCTAAAATATATTCCATCTATCTGGAAAATTTATTCATCTATAACAAATAATTTCCTGACATAATTGGATAGTGGAGGACTTGTCATGTGTTTACCTTTCTTCACCTTTTGTAATTGCCACTCAGGAGCTAAATAGGCAATATGAATGTTATATCCTATAATAAAACCTAAAATTACAACCATAGAATCTTAAGAGTTGAAATAACCCTCCAATTTAGTCCATTTTCCACCTGCTACAGAAATTCTTTCTGTGACATATCTAAGCTATTCCATCTCCCTGCTTTCAGTGAAAAGCTTTATTTCAAACTTCTTCCTTAAATTAAATGACAGTCTGCTTTTCTGTGACTTCTACTTACACGGCCTAATAATGACCTCTAAAGTCCTTCAAAATATTTGAAGATAATTATTGGATTTACCTTTAGGGCATCTGTTGCTATCATCTTACACATAATCTTATAAAAAATGTCAGAACATGGCTGGGAGTGGTGGCTCATGCCTATAATCCCAGCATTTTGGGAGGCCAAGAAGGGCAGATCACTTGAGGTCAGAAGTTCGAGACCAACCTGGGCAACATGGAGAAACCCCGTCTCTACTAAAAATACAAAAAAGTAGCCAGGTATGGTGGTGCATGACTGTAATCCCAGCTACCTGGGAGGCTGAGGCACAAGAATCACTCGAACCCAGGAGGTGGAGGTTGCAATGAGCTGAGATTGCACCACTACATTCCAGGCTGGGTGACAGAGCAAGACTCTGTCTCAAAAACAACAACAACAAACCCCCCCCTCCAAAAAAAAAACAAAAAACAGAACACTTCTTAGTTTTTTGTTGTTATGGTTGTTTTTTGTTTTTTGAGACAGGGCCTTGCTCTATCACCCAGGCTGGAGTGCAGTGGCACAATCCTGGCTCACGGCAGCCTCAACCTCCTGGGCTCAGGTGATCCTCCTGCCTCAGCCTCCTAAGTAGCTAGGACTACAGGTGCACACCATCACTCCCAGCTAATTAAAAAAATATATATTTGTACAGTCAGGATCTCACTATGGTTTCTCAGGCTGGTCTTGAATTCCTGACTTCAAGTGATCCTCTTGCCTCCATCTCCCAAAGTGCTGGGATTACAGATGTGAGCCACCATGCCTGGCCTAGTTGAGCTTTTTTGTTTGTTTTCTTTTGGCATTGGTTCTTCCTCTGCTAATAGATAAACGATTGTGAATATAGCCAGAAAACATGAGAGGCATGGTCTTTGCCACTTAAAGATTCTAAAGCCAGTTTTTAATTTTTCAATGGCAGAAGAGGGAAGAAATCATTTAGTACATTATTGTTAAATATTACAATGTATTAATATGCTTTTAAGTAAAGTGAAAGTTGTTAAGACCAGAAATAATGGAGTCAAATAGGGTTTGAATCCAGTATGGCCATTTACTGGCTGTGTGACTTGGGGTTTATTACTTAACTTCTCTGTATCTCAGTTTCCAACCATGCAGATTGAAGGAAAAAAATCATATCCAAATAAAAGGATGGTTGTGATGGATCAATGTGATAACATATGTTAAGTATTCAGAACAGTGCTTGGCACAATGTAAATGCTATATGTCTTACCTATTCTAATTTTTTATTACTATGCTTCTACTTTAAATTCAATTATTACAGTAATATATGCGATAAAAATATGAAGATATTTTAATCACCTTGATTCAGATTTTTCCAGATCTCAGTAATAACCTTACTTTTATATGGAACTTTAGCAACATTACAATGGTTGCTAAACCATTACAAATTATTCAGCCACTCAAAATCATTTTTAGAAAAATACTTAATGCCATGGAAAATGTATGCATCATATTCATTGGAAGGTTAAAAAGCAATTTGCCAGAAAGTGTGAACTATATGATCTCAATTTTGTTTCTTTAAAATTCAAAAATATTGGCCAGGCACAGTGGCTCACGCCTGTAATCCCAGCACTTTGGGAGGCCGAGGCAGGCAGATCACCTGAGGTCGGTAGTTCAAGACCAGCCTGACGAACATGGAGAAACCTTGTCTCTACTAAAAATACAAAATTAGCCGGGCGTGGTGGCGCATTCCTGTAATCCCAGCTATTTGGGAGGCTGAGGCAGGAGAATTGCTTGAAACTGGGATGTGGAGGTTGTGGTGAGCCAAGATCACATCATTGAACTTTAGCCTGGGCAACAAAAGTGAAACTCCGTCTCAACAAAAAATAAAAAATTAAAAATATGTATATGGGAAATGGCAAAAGGACAAACAAGAGATCTCACTGGAATCTTACATAACACAACAGCAACAGTGATTATCTTTTGGTAATAATATTACAAACGACTTATTCTTCACATTATTTTTGATACCCATTTTTTTATAACAACCATTTATTAAATTTGTCAGGCACCTTGGTAGGCTGAGGTGGGAGGATTGCTGGAGGCCAGAAGTTTGAGTCCAGCCTGGGCAACAAAGTGAGACCTTGTCTCCACAAAAAATAAAAAAAGTTAGCCAGGCTTGGTGGCTCACTACAGGGGAGGCTCAGGCAGGAGAACTGCTTGAGTCCAGGAGATGGAGGCTGCAATGAGCCATGATCACGCCCCACTGCACTCCAGTCTGAGTGACAAAGACCCTGTCCCCCACCAAAAAAAAAAAAAAAAGGCTTATATGTGCTGCTCAAACCTATCTTTCTTTTACAAGTTTTTTTTAAGTTTATAAGTAATGTAAATTTCTCTATCTTCAGGAAAAGAAATAATAATTCAAGGTAATAAACTACAAAATCTATCAAAATACAAAAGGCAATAAAACATTATGTATGAGTATATCTTAAAATTCTATTTCCTGTTTCGAATGCCAGTTCTGCCATCCCTCATAACATGTTTCACTTACACAGAATTTTTACACTAAACTTAATTTACAAACATTGAGAGATCACACAGTGCTCCACATGTTATTTCCACTTCACGAATAAGACAAAAACTAAAGATTCTGCTATAAAGACAGCAGAAAATATTTGTTATGAGAGCAATAAAAAGTTCAGAGTATTATTCTCTCAAAATTCCTTTGCTCCAAAAATTAGAGATGATAAATAAGCTAGTATTTTCCCTATGTTAGTCTTGTACATACTTACATTTGGAAACACTTGCTATAGCTTCTCACTTTTTTTCTTTTTTCTTCCTCCTCCCAACAACCCTACTATTCTTCATCTCCCTCTGGCCTCTCTTCCCACTGTGTCCTGGCTCCTCTCTCTTTTCTAAGCAGTAAAATTCTAGAGTCAAATCAGCAATATTCACTGTTGTTAACAATTGACACATAGTTTAGCGTACGCTGAGATATTTGAAGTGATATCTACAATCACCCCACTATAGTTGGGAAATTTAAAAAAGCAAGGCTGGGTCAGGCACAGTGGCTCACACCTGTAATCCCAGCATTTTGGGAGGCTGAGGTGGATCACTTGAGCTCAGGAGTTCGAGACCAGGCTGGCCAACATGGCAAAACCCCATCTCTACAAAAAAATACAAAAATTAGTGGGGCATGGTGGTGCATGCCTGTGGTGCCAAGCTGCTTGGGAAGCTGAGGCGGGAGGATCGCTTAAGCCCAGGAGGCAGAGGTTGCAGTAAGCTGAGATCTACCACTGCACTCCAACCAGGGTGACAGAGTGAGACCATCTCAAAAACAAAAAAGAAAGAAAAAAGCAAGGCTTAGAAATATTCTTTAAATATTCAACATTCTCACTAAAGCGTTCTAGAATTCTAAATAGATTGTCATCCATGGTTTTTTAAACAGTAGGTTAAAGAATGTCTTGTTTTGGCTCTAACAAAACATACCTCAAAATTATTTTTCATAAACTAAAAAATTATGCCACTTCATTATGTTTAAATCTGTTAACTTTTATACACATGTAGTGATGTTAATTTAGTCTAAAATGAAATTACTACAATTAAGAGAGTTAAAGAAGCCCAACAAAGAACCCAGAAAAAAATTTCTTTCCATAGAACCTGTGGAAGCATCATAATAATATAAGAACTCCTTATTAATATAACATTTCAGCTATGTAGTACCATAACTATACAGAACATGCAAAAATTATATAGGTAAAAAAGTCTATGCTCTGTCAAAATTTGTCATGAATTCCACATATTAAATCATTTGCATTTCATATATTTAAGATGTGTGACCTATAATTCAGTACATATAAAACTGATATGCAACATACAATAATCATAATAATCCTCTCTACCAATCCATCTCTCTTTTTCACTCTCACAATCAACGAATCCCAAATATCACTGTTTAAACTAAGAAGTAATAGGAAACTTGAGAACAGAGTGTTTTTTTCTTTTTTCTTTTCCTTTTTTTGAGACAGGGTCTCACTATTACCCAGGCTGGTAAGTGGAGCAACACAATCACAGCTCACTGCAGCCTCAAACTCTCAGGCTCAACTCATCCTCTTGTCTCAACCTCTCAAAGTGTTGGGATTACAGGCATAAACCATGGCACCTGGTCGAGAACAGACTTTCTTTTCTTTTTTTGTTTTGAGACAGAGTCTTGCTCTGTTGCCCAGGCTGGAATGCAATGGTGTGATCTTGGCTCATCACAACCTCAGCCTCCCGGGTTCAAGCGATTCTCCTGCCTCAGCTTCCCAAGTAGCTGGGATTACAGGCATGGGCCACCACGCCCAGCTAATTTTTGTATTTTTAGTAGAGACGGGGTTTCACCATGTTGGCCAGGCGGGTCTTGAACTCCTGACCTCAGGTGATCCACCCACCGCGGCCTCCCAAAGTTCTGGGATTACAGGCGTGAGCCACTGCGCCTGGCCGAGAATAGACTTTCAGTAAGTCAAAAAAGAATTCCAAACAAACTGCCCTTTATCAGTTTTTGGACATGTGAAAAAAGAACAAGTTAACAAAACAAGAAAAAAAAAACTGAAACAAAAAAGTGAGTGACTTAAAACCGTATTTATCAGTGTAGAATAAGATGATTTAAGGTAGGTCTGAAAATAACTTCTCTCAGATGGAGTGCTCTCTATCTACATGCTAGCATTAGAGACTGCTTTAGTTATTTATAATTATCCTCCATTCATTCCAAATCTATAAAAAGGAGTCCTTACTACTTTTTAAAGCCCGGGAAACATGTTTAGAAATGCATTAATTAAAAAACAAAACAAAAGCAACAAAAAGACATGAATCAAAATGATAAAGTCTTAGGAGAATAAAATGTTTAAAAATAAATCAATAAGCTCTCATAATTTCAAGTATACACTGGACAAAAATGATTGGTCAAACTAGTCAGAAACCTACATACAAAGTAGATAGATGCACCTAAGTTCAATCAGTGGAGAGTTTTCCCAGGGTCCTTCTGAGATGCTTGATCTTCCTCCAGTAGGGGGAGCAAAATCACAATACTCAACTCATGTCATAAAAAGAGGGGGACATGGAGGGTTTATAAGTGTCTTTTAAATGTTTCTACATCTCCCTAGACATTTCAAAAAATATGCTGAAATATCGTTCTGAAATAGAACTAAAGTGGCCGGGCATGGTGGCTCACGCCTGTAATGCCAGTACTTTGGGAGGTCAAGGCCGGTGGATCACCTGAGGTCAGGAGTTCAAGACCAGAGATCAGCCTGGCCAACATGCTGAAACCCCGTCTCTACTGAAAATACAAAAATTAGCTGGGCATAGTGGCACACACCTATAATCCCAGCTACTCAGGAGGCTGAGGGAGGAGAATCACTTGAACCTGGGAGGCAGAGGTTGCAGTGAGTGGAAATTGTGTCAGTGCACTCTAGCCTGGGAGACAGAGTGAGACTCCTTCTCAAAAAAGGAAAAAAGAAATAGAACTATAGTCAATCCAATGGGAAAGACAAAGATTTTTTCTTTTTCAAATACTTCAAGGCTTTAAAATGAAAAATGGATCCCTAAATATTTAATTTCAAGAACTTTGGTATATTTCATTGTCCACAGAATCTCACAGGTAACCAAGGTATTGAAGCATTTTATGAATCCTTAATTTAACAAGAGAATTTTTAAAAACATAAAATATTACATTAATTTTTTATTATAAAAGTAATATGTTCACGACAAAATTGTAGAAAGTAAGGGAAAAACTGCACTACTTAAACCTATTTTCTTCTGGTATTTTTTTCATATACAAATTTTCTTTTTTTCTCAGAGGGTCTGATTCTAATGCCTAGACTGGCAGTGGTGTGATCATGGCTTACCTCAGCCTGGAACTCCTGGGTTTGAGCTATCTGCTCACCTCAGCCTCTTGAGTAGCTGGGACTACAGGAGTGCACCATCATACCTGGCTAATTTTTTAAAAATGTATTTATTGTAGAGACAGAGTATCGTTACATGGTCCAGGCTGGTCTGGAATTCCTGGTCTCAAGCAATCCTCTCACCTCAATCTCCCAAAGTGCTGGGATTACAGGCATAAGCTAACATAACTGGCCCATATACATATTTTCATACTACTATGAAAAAAAGTATAATTAATAAAAACACTTAAGACTGGGCAGAGTGTCTCACGTCTATAATCCCAGCACTTTGGGAGGCCGAGGAGAGTGGACTGGTTGAGTACAGGAGCTCAAGATTAGCCCAGGCAACATGGCAAGATCACATCTTTACAAAAAATACAAAAAAAGCCAGGCATGGTGGCACATGCCTATAGTCCCAGCTACCCAGGAGGCTGAGGCAGGAGGATCACCTGAGCCCAGGGAGGTTGAGGCTGCAGTGAGCCCTGATGGTGCCACTGCACTTCAAACTGGGTGACAGAGTGAGACCCTGTCTCAAAAGAAAAATTAAAAAAAAACAAAAAAAAGTATTAATTTCTAACTATATGCTAGGCATAGTCTAAGCATGTTTACATGTTATAAATCTATTAATCCTTTATTATTTCACATTTTAAAGATGAGGAAAAAGAGACGCACGGAAATTATCTAAGTCAAAGTCACCCAACTACTAAGTAACAGGACCCACAATTCTAAACCAGGTAGTCTGGTATCAAAGGCCACACTCTTAACCTTACTTCACTGTGATCTTAATTTTGAATTACGCTCTTTTCTCCATCATTAACATATTCTCAATGTTAGTGTTCAAAATCTTTTTAGTGCCTATGGTCTATCGTGATTACAATAATGAGCTATGCTTTTTTCAGCTGTCCCTTGTAAGTATATTAAGACAAATATCTTTGGGTATATACTTCTGCTATGTCTGGGTTATTAAAATGGAGAATTTTTATATTCTTTAATCTAGTACCAAATTGCTTTTCAAAATATTTGCATTAATTAACAAAGCCATGTAGGTACCAATTTCACCATAAATTTGTCAGCATTAAGCATTAACATTTAACATGTTTTTCTAATAGGTAAAAATAAAACCATTCTAAATTTATTTTTTATTATTAAAGCTGCATATTATTCTGGTTTTGTTTACTAATTTAATTTCCTTTTTGTGAATTTCAGCTTATATGTTTTATCTAGTTATCAACTGAGGTCTTAAAAGTTTGCTAATTTATAAAGCTTTTTATAGGAATATTAACTCAATGTTAATTGTATTTGCAATAAAATTTTCCCAGTCTGGTTTTTCCCTTTTAATTATGATTATTAAGTTGTTTTTGATAAAATAACTTTCTCTCAAAGGTATTCATAAACATCACAAAAGAAGTCTTAACACCTTATAATTTTCTAAATATAGAAGCTAATCTATTGCTTTGAGCATATCAGTGAATCACTTTCAATACAAGACTTGTAAAACAATATAAACCTATATCAAAATATGTATGTTCACTTAATGGAATTACCAAGTTTGAGAAATCTTGACTATGTTTCATATAAAATTAACCCAATGACTAACAGTCCGCCCTACCCCCAAATCTCCAAAATAAAAGCAAAGAGCTACATACCTGTCGCTGTAAACATAGGTGATTTCTGTCATGTAAATGCTGATGATTAGAAAATGATGAATGCCAACTCCGAGCCTGACTTTGCAACTGAGTCTGAGCCATATCAGAAGGCCGTGTTACCAGATGCGAAGTAAACTGCCGATCAAGGTCATGATCTAAAATGTGACTTGAATTATCTTGTCCGAATGTTGACTCATCAAAGTGAGGAAGAAGACCCTCCTGAAGGAGGTCCTCGGGGTCAAGTCCTGTGAATGGCTCAGTTTGAGATTCCACTTGATGAAGTAAATTCTCTTCTAAAGATGAAAAGCCATTAGTTTCTACATGATCATTGAAATGGCCCATTTGAGTTCCTGAGTCAACAGGATCTGGGAAGTTCATGTGCACAGGAGATAATTTTGAATTGCTATAATTACCCTGAGGATGTGATGAATGCAATATTTGGAAATTATTTGAATTCAATGATGTATTGGGGTTTAGGATATGCTGAGTAGATTCTTGCTTGATTCCTCTATGAGGTGAAAAGGAATTACTTCCAGTAAAATCAGATAAAGTCTGATTTGTATGATTAGATGCAAGAACTGCAGAGGACTGAAGTAGACTGTTTGGTGATATATGATTACTGGAAAAGGAATAATGTGAAGAAAATTGCTGTGAATTACTGACAGAACAAGAAGTCATATTTGGGGAAGGTCCATTAAAATTTCCTTCTTGATGACTGCTACACTTGTGGAAGTGTGCTGAAGGATTTGACGTTTGAGAAAATTGCTGCATTGAAATAGACTGTTGTGAATTAGATGCATTAGTCATCTGTGGTGGGTGGTTAACATTGACTCTATGTGGACCAGAAACATTCATAAAATTTTTAGACTGGCTAAGAGAATTCTGCCCTGGGTTGAGATTATTTCTGTTTTGTTGTGAGCGTAGTGAAGTACACTGTGTTTGTTGTTCATTGGCCTGAAATAAGGCAAAGTCATGGTGTGCCACAAAGCTTTTATTTTGATGCATAGAGTGTGAATGTCCTTGTTGGTGAAAAGGAGATCCATTTTGATTTGAAATGGTAGTAGCTGTCTGATGGCCCCACATTGGACTGCCATCTGATACATCTGGAAACAAACCATTGGGTTGGTTTTGGGGATGGATTGGAGAACAATTAAACTGAGAGTGTGGAGATAACACATGTTCAGCTGGGCTACCAAAAGATTGATTAACATGGTGAAATTTTATTGAATCAAATTGATTTAACTGTTCAAAATCAGTCATCTTCTGATGTGTTGGAGTACCTTGAACATGGTTCAGTGAATCTATGTGCAACGGTTCAAATTCTGCACCCAAATTCAATTCATCAACTAGTGAAACAGGTCCTGGTTGTACAAATGCATCATCTGACAAACCTTCTAAGGTCTCACCAAAAAGATTGGCATCATCAAAAAAGTCCATCATTGGATCTGTCATCTTGAAAATTCTGTAACAATCCGGGCTGTTCACTCCAAATGGAGTATATTCAGCTTCTCTATAGTAGATATTATTGGATCATTTCCGAAGGTCATCAACTAATCCAAAACAGGTCAATATTCATTATTGCTCTAAATAATGACATGTCATGAAGTGTCAAAATCCTAGAAAAAAAGGAACAAAAACAATAAAGAGAAATTAAGTACTGATACATGCTACAACAAAAATGAACTCTGAAAACATTATGCTAAGTGAAAGAGGTCAGTCACAAAATACCACATATTATATGACTCGATTTATATAAAATGTCAAAAGTAGGCAAGTATATATAGAGAGAAAATAGATTAGTGGGTCACCTAGAGCTGGTGGCATGGTGGGTGGGTAGAAAGGACTGGTGATTGGTGAGTGATAGCTACAGGTTATGGGATTTCTTTTGGGGGTAACGAAAATGCTCTAAAATTGGTTATGGTAATGGATAAACAACTCTGAGTATGCTAAAAGCCACTAAATATACACTTTAGATGAATGAATTGTATGGTATCTGAATTATATCTCAATAAAGCTACTTTAAGAATAAAAATTATATAAGTAAAATTATTTTGAAACTTCTAATTTTCTGTTGTATCTTTTAGATAAGGAGGATCGTTTGAGACCAGCCTGGGCAACAAGAGTGACACCCATCTCAGAAAAAATTTCAAAACTACTCGGCCATGGTGGTGTGTACCTGTAGTCTCAGCTACCTGGGAGGCTGAGGTGGGAGGACTGCTTGAGCCTGAGAGGTTGAGGCTGCAGTGAGCCATAATTGTGCCACTGCACTCCAGCCTGGGCAACAGAGTGAGACACTGTCTCAAAAAAAAAACAAAACTGATTTTATTCAATCTAATTACCAACTAATTTTACTTGGCAAGTATTTGCAAGGTAGATCTTTCTGAGAAAAAATTAAGTAGGTGAAGTTACTTTGGATGATTTAAGTTACAGTGGAAGTCTGTGTCTTCTCAAAGAAAATATTTTATCTAATACAACTTTGAAACTTATAACAATGTTAAAATAAGCTAGTAATATAAGTAAAAATTAAGCGCTGGAAAAATTTTAAAATAAATAAGAACTCTAGAGTAGACATATTTTTAAATGACTCAGGAAAAAAAATTTTTTTGAGACAGGGTAAGCTATCAAGATCATTTTAATCAATCAAAATTTAAAACTTCAAAATTTACTGAAATGATTTTTACTGACTCTGTCACAAATGACAACTCTAGAACAGGGGTCCCGAAACCCCAGGCTGCAGATGGAATGGGTGCGTGGCCTGTTAGAAACCAGGCTGCACGGCAGGAGATGAGCAGCAGGTCAGCCAGCATTACTGCCTGAGCTCCGCCTCCTGTCACATCAGCGGCAGTATTAGATTCTCATAGCAGCCCGAACCCTATCGTGAACTGCATATGTAAGTGATCTAGGCTGTGCTCCCTTATAAGAATCTAATTAATGCCTGAGGTGGAACAGTTTCATCCTGAAATCATCTCCCTCCATCCACCACACCCCATTTCCCTACCCCATCCACGAAACCGGTCCCTGGTGCCAAAAAGGTTGAGGACTGCTTCTCTAGAAGATGCATAGTATCATCCACAAAGCTCCTTAATATTAGGGACCTGAAGAAATATAAAAACTAAAGAATCAACAAAACCCTCTGCCTATCCTACATACTTGATACAATGATTAAGTGATACATTGCATATTAAATTGTTTTCCATACAAAAGCAAGATGTTTTTATAATCAGTAATAATAGTAAGTGATGTTTGGTTTGAGGAACAGTCAGCTTTAGAATGTCACAGCTCAGGAAATATTAGTAAAACATTAGTAAAATTTGAAAATTTAAATTTAGGATATCTAGAATTCTTACTTTTTATCAAAAAATTAGGAAGCCCAGATACTTTTGAGTAATAAATATCAATTGAAAGGGTGTTAATATTAAATTAATATGAATTCAATATTGTCCCTTAATTATTTAGGGCTAGCCCTTTAAAAGGTAACAAGAACTGATTAACTCTGTATCCAGTAAGGATTAAAGCAGGTAAGGACTTATACTCTTTCCATTCAGTTGTATATTCATTATTTGATCTGATCTCCCCTTTCCTGGGCACCTTACCAGCTAGCATACAGATACTCACATGCCAGAATAACTGTGTTTCCTACCTACAAGCTGAAGTATTTCTGATCAGCTTTCCTCAATCATATCATAAATAAATCTGGAAATTGGCAAGGTGCAGTGGCTCACACCTATAATCCCAGCACTTTGGGAGGCTGAAGTGGGAGGAATGCTTATTAAGCCCAGGAGTTCGAGACCAGCCTAGGTAACAAAATGAGACCCTTCTCTCTACTAAAAATAAAAAATAAAAAAAAAATTAGCCAGGCATAGTGCATTCCTGTAGTCCCAGCTATTTGGGGGGCTGAGGTGGGAGGATCGCTTGAGCCTGAGAGATTGAGGCTGCAGTGAGCCATGATTAAGCCACTACACTCTAGCCTGGGTAACAGAGAGAGGCCCTGTCTCCAAAACAAACGAAGAAAAAACCAAGGAAATTACTTTTAAAAAGTTTCCTCCACTGTTTTACATTTAAGTTGGAAAATGTTTGATTCTTGTAATAAGCAATAAAAAATTAAAACTCTCCTTCCTCTGCCTTCCTTCCCCACCTACTTGCCTACTCAAAGGCATTGCCCCAGTAATTCTTTCTTCTCTTCTGAGTCATCAATTTGTCCCATTCTCATCTGTATACAAACAAGCTGCTATTTCTCTCATCTTCAAATATCCCCTCTCTTGATCCCATTTATTATCCTTTCAATTTCCTCCCCCTTCTTTCTTCCTCTTTACAACAAACTTGAGGAATCTGTTTAGGTTTATTGTCTTCAATTTACTTGTTGCCATTCTCTCTTGAAATTGTTTTATTCCCATCATCTCACCAAACTGACCTGAGGGCATACGGACCTTCACATAACGAAATACAAGGGTCGTTTTTCACGTCTCATCTAACACTACCTATCAGCAGCATTTGATGTAGTTATCATGGAATCCTCCTTGAAACACTTAACTTCATTTAATTGTTATATATGGTATTCACTTGGTTTCTCTCCTACTTTTCTGAGTGTTCATTCTCATTCTCATTCTCTTTTTACAGATTTCAATCTACAATCTACAAATGTTGAGGACTCCAACCTCTTCTCTTTTCTATCTATAATCACTTCCAAGGTGATTTCATCCAATCTCAAGGTTTTAAATAAAATCTCTATATTGGCAATTCCCTAACTTACATCTATTAATTATATATCACTACCTTAAATCTAGACCCATTTACCTAATAAACTACTTGACTTCTCATCTTGGACACTTGATTGGCAACTAACAGCCTGCTATTTACCTTGCCCTGTTTCAAAACAGTGATCTCATTAAAATGCAAGTTAATTCAGGACACTCCTCTGCTCACAACCCTCCAATGACTCTTTATGTCACTCACATGAAAAACTGAAATCCTTACTATGACTTGTAAGCACAGCCCTGCACCACCACCAGAACAGCTCTCTGCCTTCAGCTCTGGCTGCACTTCTCTCTTGCTCACCCCCTTGCTTCAGCCACAATGGCCTCCTCAGGTCACTAAAAAGCCAAGCATGAGAGAGTGATGCCAGCAAAATGACAGACTAGACAGCTCCAAACACCTGTCTCTCCACAGAAACACCAAAAACAAGCAGGAAGTGTCAGAACCAACTTTATCAGAACTCTGGAAAACAGTCAAATATTTATAACAACCAAGAGAATGCTGAAAAGAAAATACTCCCAGCATTCAAGGAAATCTGTATTAAAACACTGGCTAAACACAAACCTAAGTAATACAGGCTTCAGTAACCTCAGACAACAACCAATATAGTCACTACAGAAAATAGTTTGAAAAGTGTCTAAATGAATGACTCCAGCCTTCAACAATCAAGACGAGCAAATGCTAAGGGAGGGGGTAAATCTTATTTCTGAAGTTAGCACATCACAGTATCAAATGGTCTGGTTTTCTCACACACATATGCACACACACGTGTGTATGTGCACCCCTGCCCACAATCACACACACACACACACACACACACATACCCTGAAAGCATACAAAGAATAAGAAAGCCCATCCAAAGGAAGAAAAAAGTTGACAGAAATTGTCCCTTAGAAAGTCCATTAGATTTGATGGTCAAAAACTTGAAATCAAGTGTCTTAGATATGATCAAAGAGCTAAAGGAAACCATGGCCCAAGAATGAAAGTAAACCAGGAAAACAGCATATGAATAAAATAAGAATATCAATACAGAAATAGAACATCTTAAAAGTAACAAAATAGAAATTCTAGAGCTGAAAAGTACAATACCCGAAATAAAAAATTCATTATCGTTGTTCAACAGGAGATTTGAGCAAACCGAAGAAATAATCAGCAAACTTGAAGACTTGAAGATAGAAGAATTGAAATTACCAGATTCTCCAATATGAGGATCACAAAGAAAAAATAATGAAGAGGCTGGACGTGGTGTCTCACGCCTGTAATCCCAGCACTCTGGGAGTCTAAGGCAGGTGGATCACCTGAGGTCAGGAGTTCGAGACCAACCTGGCCAACATGGTGAAACCCCATCTCTACTAAAAAAATATAAAAACTAGCCTGGCATGATGGCAGGCGCCTGTAATCCCAGCTACTTGGGAGAGGCTGAGGCAGGAGAATCACTTGAACCCGAGAGGCAGAGTTTGCAGTGAGCTGATATCATGCCACTGTACTCCAGCCTGGGTGACAGAGCAATACTCCATCAGAAAAGGACAGGACAAGGAAAGGACAGGACAAGGAGAGGAAAGGGAGGGGAGGGGGGGAGGGGAGGGGAGGGGAGGGAAAAGAAAAAGAAAAAGAAAAAGAAAGAAAAATGAAGAAGAAAAGTGAATCAAGCCTAAAAAAACCTATGAGACAAAATCAAGAGAATAAAATATACATTGTGGGCATCCCAGAAGAAGGAGAGAGAGAAAAGGGCAGAAAGACTATTTGAGGAAATTATGGCCCCAAACTCCCCAAATTTGATGAAAGACATTAATCTACATATCCAAGAAGCTCACCAAACTCCGCGGAGGATAAATTCTAAGAGATCACATCGTAACACATTATAGTCAATTTGTCAAAAGACAAAGAGAATCTTGAAAGTGGCAAGAGAAAAAAGACTCATCAAGTACACAAGGGCCTCAACAAGATACAAGTGGATTTCTCATCAGAAACCATGAAGGCCAGAGGTGCTGACATGAAATATTTGAAATGCTGAAAGAAAAAAACTGTTGACTAAGAATTCTATGCAAAAAGCTATTTTTTAAGAATGAAGAGAAATTAAGACCCATGCAGATAAATAAAAGCTAAAGGAGTTTGTTATTAGTAGAACTGCCCTAAAAGACATGATTAAGGGAATCCATTCGGATAAAATGAAAGGACACTAGAGAGTATCTTGAAGCCATATGAAGAAACAAAGAATGCTGCTAAAGGTAATTATATAGGTAAATATAAAGGCCAGCATTATTGTACCTTTGGTATGTAATGCCTTTTTAAAAAATATGATCCTAAAGGCAAATAGATAACCCATTTAAATTTCTGTTAACAAGCACACAATGTAGACCGATGTAATCTTTGATAATAACAATATAAAGGTGAAGAGACAGATGTTTAGGAGCAGAGCATGTGTATACCACTGAAACTAACTTGGCATTTAAAATACATTGTTATAATTTTTGTTAATTATAATCCGCAACATAACCATTAAGGAAATAACTAAAAAATATACAGAAAAGGAAAGAAGGAAATCAAAAAGGAATGCTACCAAAAAAAAAAAAATCTAAATATAAGAAATTGGCAGTAATGGATGAATTAAGGAAAAAAGAGCATACAAGACATTAAAAAGCAAAAAGCAAAATAACAGAAGTATGTTTTCTTTATCAATAATTACTTTAAATGTAAATGAATGAAATTTTCTACTTAAAAGGAAAAGATTAGCAGAATGGATAAAAATGAAAATAAAAACATAATCCATCTTATATACTGTTTACAAGAGGTTCCCTCTAAATACAAAGTCACAGGAGGATAAAAAACAAGAAATGAAAAAATATATTCCACAGAAATAGTAACCAAAAGAGAGCTGGGATATTAGTATCAAACAAAATACTGTAAGTAAAAAAAGGTTACAAGAGGGCCTTGCACGGTGACTCATACCTGCCACAATCCCAGCACTTTGGGAGGCTGAGGTAACAGTACTGCTTGAGGCCAGGAGTTCAAGACCTGCCTGGGACACACAGCAAGACCCCATTTCTACAAAATATATATATATATATTTTTAAATTAGCCAGTGTGATGGTGCACACCTATAGTCCTAGCTAACTGGGAGGCTGAGGCTGGAGGATCTCCTGAGCCCAGGAGTTGGAGGTTACAGTGAACTATGATTGTGCCACTGCACTTTAGCCTGAAAAAAAAAAAAAATGGCTGGGTACGAGAGACAGAGAGAGAAAGGTTACAAGAGACAAAGAAGGATATTACACACTGATGAAAGAGACTCAATCTACCAATATGATATAACAATTATAAACATGTATGCACCTAACAGACCCACAAAATTTATGAAGTAAAAATACACAGAATTGATGGGAAAAACAAATAATTCTACAATATAGTTGTAGAAAGTTCTACAATAGTCGGAGACTTAAATATCTCATTTTCAATAATAGATAGACCAACCAGACAGAAAATCAATAAAAAAAGAGGACTTGAACAACACTACAAACCAATTAGACCTAACACACATATACAGACACTCTACCCAACAATAGCAAAATATACATTCTTCCGGAGTGCAGATGAAACATTCTCCAGGATTGGCCATATGGTAGGCCACAAAACAATTCTTAAAACATTTTAAAATATTACAAGTATACAAACTGTCCTCTCTGACTCCAATGGAATAAACCTAAATATCGATAACAGAAGCCAAATTAGAAAAATCACAAATATGTAAAAATTAAATAGCACACAATCAATGGGTCTAAGAAGAAATAACGAGGAAAATTAGAAAATACGCAAATGAAAATTGAAACGCAATATAGCAAAACTTATCAGACCCAGTGCTTATCAAAGCAATGCTCTGAGGGCAAGTTATACCTGTGAACAACTACATTTTTAAAGATATATCTTAAATTAATAACCTAATTGTACCCCTAAGGAAACAGAAAAGCAAACTAAACCCAAAGGTAGCAGAAGATAATAAAAAGGCAACCAACAGAATGCAAGAAAGTATTTGTAAATCATATATCTGATAAGGGTTTAATATCCAGAATTTTTAAAGAACTCCTACAACTCAGTATCAGAAAGACAACCCAATTTAAAAATGGGCAAAGAACTTCATTCGATATTTCATCAAAAAAGATACAGGAATGTCCAAGGAGGACATGAAGACACTCAACATCAGTCGTTAGTGAAACACAAACAGAAATCACAATGAGATATCACTTCACACCTACCAGGAATGGTATAAAAAATAAACAACAAGTGTTGGAGAAGATGTGAAGAAATTGGAACCCTCATACATTTCTCATAGGAATGTAAAATGGTATAGCCACTGTGGAAAATAGTGTGGTGGTTCCTCAAAAAGTTAAACAAGCCAGACGGGTACGTGTGCCTGTAGTCCCAGCTACTCAGGAAGCTGAGGCAGAAGGACTGCTTGAGCCCAGGAGGCCAAGGCTGCAGTGAGCTGACTGCGTCACTGCACTTCTGCCTAGGTGACAGAGTGAGACCCTGTGTCTAAAAAACAAAAACAAACAATAAACTAAATAAGCAAAATTTTATATATTTTTTTGGAGGCAGAGTCTCACTCTGACACCAAGGCTGGAGTGCAACAGTGCGATCTTGGCTCATTGCAACCTCTGCCTCCTGGATTCAAACGATTCTCCTACCTCAGCCTCCCGAGTAGCTGGGCTTACAGGCGCCCACCACCATGCCCGGGTAATTTTTTTTTTATTTTTAGTAGACACAGGGTTTCACCATTTTGGCTAGGCTGATCTTGAACTCCTGACCTCAGGTGATCCACCCACCTCAACCTCCCAAAGTGCTGAGATTACAGCCATGGGCCACCGCGCCTGGCCTAAATAAGCAAACATTTAAAAAAGTTAAACAGAGAATTACCTTATGACCCAGCAATATCACTCCTAGGTACATACTATTCACCAAAAGCAACTGAAAATAGGGACTCAAACAGAGAACTTGTACATGAACACTCATAGCAGCATTATTCACAATAGACAAAAGCTGGAAACAATCCAAGTGTCCATCAACAGATATTTATAATAGAATCTTACTCAGTCATAAAAAGTAATAAAGTTTTGATACATGCCACAACATGGATGAACCCTGAGAACACTATGTTCAGAGATATTAGCAGGCAGACACAAAGCAAATATGATTCCACTTACATGAAGTATTTAGAATGGGAAAATTCACAGAGACAGAGGTACATAAAACTAAATTAGAGGTTATTGGGGCTAGGGGAAGGGGAGAGTAGAAGTTATTTGGTAATGGGTACAGTGCCTTGAGATGATAAAAAAATGGCAACATGTAGTGGTGATGGTTGTACAACATTGTGAATGATGTTGATGCCACTGCGCTGTATACTTGACAGTTAAAGTAGCACATTTTGTCAAATGGATCTTACAATTAAAAACAATCTTGAAAGTCAGGAATATACGTTCTTCCAGGACTTTGTATTTACTGTTCCCTCTGCTCAATATACTGTTCCTTCATTACAGTAAGTTTTCTCAAAAGTGACATTCCTAGTGAGGCCTTTCCTGATTGCCCTTTCTAAAATGTCATTATTTCCCTCTCCAATGCTTCACACTCCCCCTTCCTTGCTTTATTTTTCTGACTTAGTACTAGCTAACATTCTATAGTTTACATATTATCTTAAAGCCTACACTCCCCATAAAATTTAAGTCAGTAATTTTTATGTAATGTATCCTTAGTATCTACTAAATAGTAGCACACAGTATCAGATAATAAGTATTTATTCATGAAAATGACAAACTTTTTTGGTGGGGGAGAGGGAATGCTACATAAGGCAGAAACTGGGTTTAAAAAAATATTTTGTGAAACTTTAAAAAAAAATAGCAACAGTGATTATTTGGACATTGAGTTTATGGCCCATTAAAAAACCTTTTTTAATGTGGTAAAATACGTGTAACAAAAGTCACCATTCTAACTTTTTTTTTTTTTTTGAGACCGTCTCACTCTGTCCCCCAGGCTAGAGTGCAGTGGTACGATCTCGGTTCACTGTAACCTCTGCCTCCCAGGCTCAAGAGATTCTCGTGCCTCAGCCTCCCAAGTAGCTGGGATTACAGGCATGTGTCACCATACCTGGCTAATTTTTGTATTTTTTTGCAGAGATGGGGTTTTGCTATGTTGGCCAGGCTGGTCTCAAACTCCTGGCCTCAAGTGATCCACCCGCCTCGGCCTCACAACATGCTGGGATTACAGGCATGAGCCACCAAGTCCATCCTCACCATTTTTAAGTATACAGTTCGGTAGTGTTAAGTATATTCTCATTGTTGTGCACCAATCTCTGGAACTTTTTAATTATATATATATATATATACATACACACACACACAATTTTTTTTTTTTGAGACAGAGTCTCACTGTCACCCAGCCTGGAGTGCAATGGCATGATCTCAGCTCACTGCAACCTCTGCCTCCCGGGTTCAAGCAATTCTCCTGCCTCAGCCTCCCGAGTAGCTGGGATTACAGGCGCCCGTCACAATGCCCGACTAATTTTTTTTTTTTTTTTTTTTAGTAGAGACGGGGTTTCACCATTTTGGTCAGGTTGGTCTCGAACTCCTGGCCTCATGATCTGCCCACCTTGGCCTCCCAAAGTGCTGGGATTACAGGTGTGAGCCACTGTGCCTAGCCATAAAATTTTAACTCCATACCCATTACCCACCATTTCTCTTAACCCTTACTCCTGGCAATCACCATCTACTGTCATTTCGATGAATATAACAACTCTAGACAACTCATATAAGTACAATCATACAGGATTTGTCTTTTTGTGACCGGTCTGTTTCACTTAGCATAATGTCCTCAAGGTTCTTCCATGTTGTAGCTAGCATGTGTCAGAATATCTTTCCTTTTTAAGGCTAATATTCCATTATATGTATATTATGGCCCACGTACGATTGTTTTTTCATGAAGATGAAGCATGCTCTGCTATAGAATCTAGCTTTTGGTAGTATACTTAGCTATTTTAAAAGAGGTAGAGTACAAGATGTCTGGATAGCAAATCCCAAACTGTGACCCAATTTTTTTTTTGAGATGGAGTTTTGCTCTTGTCACCCAGGCTGGAGTGCAATGGTGCAATCTCGGCTCACTGCAACTTCTGCCTCCTGGGTTCAAGCAATTCTCCTGTTTCAGCCTCCTGAGTAGCTGGGATTACAGGTGCCCTCCACCACGCTCAGCTAATTTTGTATTTTTAGTAGAGACAGGGTTTCGCCATGTTGGCCAGGCTGGTCTCATACTCCTGACCTCAGGTGATCCACCCGCCTCAGCCTCCTAAAGTGCTGGGATTGGCCGGGCATGGTGGCTCATGCCTGTAATCTCAGCACTTTGGGAGGCCGAGGTGGGCAGATCACCTGAGGTCGGTAGTTCGAGACCAGCCTGACCAACATGGAGAAACCCCATTTCTACTAAAAACACAAAATTAGTGAGGCATGGTGGTGCATGCCTGTAATCCCAGCTATTTGGGAGGCTGAGTCAGGAGAATCATTTGAACCCGGGAGGCGGAGGTTGCAGTGAGCTGAGATCGCACCACTGCACTCCAGCCTGGGCAAGAAGAGCTAAAGTCTGTCTCAAAAAAAAAAAAGTGCTGGGATTACAAGAGTAAGCCACTGTGCCCAGGCTGCTTAGAAAACTTCTAACCAATGTATTCTGAAAGTAATTCTTTTCTATGGACATATAATGTATCTTTGCTTAATTGACTTAATCATTACTTACAATCCTAAATGAACTTTTTTTTTTTTTTTTTGAGACAGGGTCTTGCTTTGTTGCCCAGGCTGGAATACAGTGGTGGCATGATCATAGCTCACTGCAGCCTTGACTTCCTGTACTCAAGTGAACCACCCACCTCTGCCTCCTGAGTAGCTGAGACTAAAAGCATGTGCCACCATGCCTGGCTGATTTTTAAAAATATGTTGTAGGCTGGGCGTGGTGGCTCACGCCTGTAATCCCAGCACTTTGGGAGGCTGAGGTGGGCGAATCACGAGGTCAGGAGTTTGAGACCAGCCTGGCCTACATAATGAAACCCCGTCTCTACTAAAAATACAAAAATTAGCTGGGCATAGTGGGCGCCTGTAGTCCCAGCTACTCGGGAGGCTGAGGCGGGAGAATCGCTTGAACCCGGGAGGCAGAGGTTGTGGTGAGCCAAGATAGCACCACTGCACTCCAGCCTGGGCAACAGAGCCAGACTCCATCTCAAAAAAAAAAAAAAATTTGTAGACAGGGTCTCACTATGTTGCCCAGGCCACAACAAACATTTTTAAAGTAGGACAAAAGGTTCCAAGAGAGAAATTTTATTGCCCCAAAACACAAATTAAAACTTATTAGAATTGTTGTTTTCTTCTTAACAGAGACCAAAATTCTAATCTCTGGTAGTAACTGAATATGTGATAACATATTCAACTCCGGCCCTGTTTCCTCATCAATGACAGGTTTTAACTGGATGCTTGTAAAGGTGTCTTATACTCTATACTTTGGGTTATTTTCTATATTCATATTCAGAAATTTTAAAACTTCATAGTCTCCCAAGAAAATAGTTAAAACACCACCACTACCCTAACCAAAACACAGACATAAGCTTCATTGGGAAGAAAGCTTCATCCTGATTACAGAATAAATGCAAGAAAGCTATGAAGCAGTAAGCTCCATATCTAAAAAGAAAAACTTATCTGAGATTTAATTAAAATTTTTTTAATTTACAAAAGATATCATATTTTTCCCCCCACTTCAGGAGCTCATCTATAATGTTCTATGCCTAAAATTCCTTTTAAAAAGAAAAAAAAATGTTTGGGTCATGGGCAAGAATCAGGAAAAATATTTTTAAATGCTGAAAAAGGTCATTACATTAACTGTGGGCGTATCACTGCCCTCATTCCTTTATTTTTCAGTCTAATATGACCTTAACATGTAACAGCATGAGTCCCAGCAAAAATGAGAAACTAAAAGAAAAATAATCCAACTTGTAATATTTATCCAGAAGTATCCTAAATTATTTTCAGTAGCTAATTAGCAAATCCTTAGGTGTTTTATTAACGTAAAATATATAAAATCATTATGAGGCCGGGCGTGGTAGCTCATGCCTGTAATCCTAGCACTTTGGGAGGCCAAGGTGGGCGGATCACGAGGTCAGGAGATCGAGACCATCCTGGCTAACATGGTGCAACCCTGTCTCTACTAAAAATACAAAAAATTAGCCAGGCATGGTGGCGGGTGCCTGTAGTTCCAGCTACTGGGGAGGCTGAGGCAGGAGAATGGTATGAACCCGGGAGGCGGAGCTTGCAGTAAGTGGGGATCACACCACTGTGCTCCAGCCTGGGCGACAGAGCGAGTATCTGCCTCAGATAAATAAATAAATAAATAAATAAATAAATAAATAAATAAATAAAATAAGATAAAATAAAAATAAATAAAATCATTATGAAAGTCCACATAAGGGGCTTTAATGCCATGTATTCCACATGTATACTACTCTATTAAACCCCATCTGTAACTCTGTTCTATGTATCCTTGACATGTTTCTGATAATCCAACTGCATTATCTATACACTTGCTATAGTTTGAATATGTCCCCCAAAGTTTAGGTGTTGGAAACTCAGTCCTCAAAGCAACAGTGTTTCGAGGTGGGGCCTAATAACAGGTGATTAGGTCATGAGGCCTCTGCCCTCATGAATGGATTAATGTTATCACAGGAGTAGGTTAGTCATCAAGATAGTGGGCTTGTTACAGAAAAGAAAATCAAGTTCAGTCATGCCTTGCTCTCTTGCCCCTCTGCTTTCTACTACAGGATGATGCAGCAGAAGGCCTTGCATCAGAGGGCCTTCTTGTGAATGCTTGTAAGCCATCTTATACCAGATGCAGGCCTCTTGACCTTGGACTTCCCAGCCTCCAAAACTAATAAATGTCTTTTCTGTATAAATTAACCAGTCTGTGGTATTCTGTTATAGCAACATAAAATGGACTAAGACAACATTTGACTGTTTAATTAGAAAATAAATTAGATTCACCAATCAATTAGACAAATATCTGGCAAATATGAGCCAGTCATGGCATAGTTGAAGGAGCTTAGGTGTGGATTCAAATTCTAACTGCTAATTCTAAGCTGTGTAACCTTGAGTGGTTCTTAAAACCTCTCAGTCTAAGCTGGGCACAGTGGCTCATGCCTGTAATCCCAGCTCTTTGGGAGGCTGAGGTGGGAGGATTGCTTGAGACCAGAAGCTGGAGATCAGCCTGGGCAACACAGTCCCATCTCTACAAAAAACAAACAAACCTCAGTCTGTTTCCTCATTGGACCATCTATATCACAGGGTTTAGAAAGGTTGCAGAGTTCAGAAAGAAAATATTCGGGATGGGCGCAGTGGCTCACGCCTGTAATCCTAGCACTTTGCGAGGGCAAGGCAGGCGGATCTCTTGAGCCCACAAGTTTGAGACCAGCCTGGGTGACATGATGAAACTCCATCTCAAAGAAGAAAAAATATATATATTCAAAGTCCTAAAACATAGTAAGTACTCAAAAATTATCTATTTCCCTCTCATCGACCTATAAAACTAAAAACACAGATTAAGATTCCTTGTCGACTTACCAAGATCCAAGCCTGTTATATCTAATAGTATTGAATGTATTTTCATTTAAAAAATTAAAAATGTTATACCAATCAACAATATCATATTTTATGATATCTAAATTTATCTTTGCCTCTCAACATATGTACTTCCTATTTTATTCCTTTCCCAAAGTTATCAATGCCCCTCCACTCTTATTTGCCACTCTCATAGGTAATCTATGTTTCCACTACATTGAAATGTTGCCTGAATTCAACAAACTTTCTCACACCTCCATTAATATGTTCTCTATGCCTACAACATCACCCTTTCCACCAGCCTTCCTCTTAATAAAGTAATGTCTTCACGATTAAACTCAGGTACCACCTTTGGGAAGCCTTTACACACTCAAACACTTCAAGTTATTATACACTCATTTTTTTTTTGTATTCCATATTTTACACACTACTTTATCCCTACTAAACAAGATGAGTGCAGAGGCTGGTTCTTATTCATCTTTGTATTCCTAACATCTACTAATTTAATTCCTGCCACACAGTAAATACTCATACGCTTTCAGGAATTCAATAATGCCATGACATAAACAAATAAGTAAACTCCTCAATCCTTACATTATTCTAAAAGCTAAGATCCAAAAGCATTAAGCAACAACATATCATTTTCATGACTTTAAGAATGCCCCCACTGAACTGTACACTTAAAAAAGAGTTAAAATGATTAACTTTGCTACAGATATTTTTACAATTTTTTTAAAGCCCCAGTAATCCAATTTAAACTTTAATTCTCACGTATCCCTTAGTGAAAGAATCCTATTTTCATCAAAAAGGAATTCTACAAGGGATCCTATAGCACAGTTTTACAGGCTCTGGAACCAGAATGTTAAGGCTGGAATCCTGGTTATATCACTTACCAGCTATGTAATCCTAGGCAAGACACTTAATCATTTTGAAGCTCAGTTTCTTCATCTGTAAATAGGGATTATAACAGTACTGGTCTCAAAAAATGACTGTAAAATAATACACATAAAGCACTGTGTAAACACTCTGTTTTCAAATTGGGTTTCATGAAATATTTTGCTTTCATTTTACAAATTGAGCTTTCATGTAAGGTTTTTAAAAAACAAAGAAATCTTTGGTTTAAAATAATTTAAACCAAAGGACATAAGCAAAAGGACAAAGCTAAATGGCACTCTTCTAATGCTTACTTATATTATTAACATCTCCCTCTGCAGATAGCCATTTACTAAATTATTTACTTTGTTGGCATTCCCACTTAATTTAGTCTTGCTTTGCATGTCACAGAAAGGAAAACTCTTAAAAACATAATCTCCACTTTGGGATTCCAAGGCTGTAGAACCACTTCAGCCCAGGAATTCAACACCAGCCTGGGCACACAGCGAGACCCAGTCTCTCCAAAACATTTTTTAAATATTAGCCAGGTGTGTTGGCATGTGCCTGTGGTCCCAGCTACTTGGGAGGCTGAGGTTAGAGAATCATTTGAGCTCAGGAGGTTGAGGATGCAGTGAGCTACGATCGATGCTACTGCACTCCAGCACAGGAGATGAGCGAGACTCTGTCTCAAACAAATACAATCTCATCTCTAATCATGATAAAAACTGATTGAGGGTAACGAATTTTGGGCTGATACTGAAAATAGATGACAAATTTCCTAGTTGCCACTGAGTCAGGTCTAGTTGTTTAACTGAAGTGGTCCTGAACATTACACCCAAACAAAATCAAATCTAAATATTCTTTTTTTTTTTTTTTTTGAGACAGAGTTGTGCTCTGTCACCCAGACTGGAATGCAGTGGTGTGATCTCAGCTCATTGCAACCTCTGTAGCTGGGATTACAGGCACGTGCCACCACATCTGGCTAATTTTTTGTATTTTTAGTAGAGATGGGGTTTTGCCATGTTGGCCAGGCTGGTCTCGAACTCCTGGCCTCAAGTGATCCACCCACCTCGGCCTCCCAAAGTACCTGGATTATAGACATAAGCCACCACTCCCGGCCTAAATATTTATTCTAATGCTAAATTTCAATTCATATTAAAAATAGAAAATTGACTTAAATGCAGAATTTTTTTTTTTTTAAGATAGGGTCTTGCTGTTGCCCAGGTTGGAGTGTAGTGGTCGATCTCAGTTCACTGCAACCTCTGCCTCCTGGGCTCAAGCAATCCTGCCACCTCAGCCTCTCGAGTAGCTGGAACTACAGGTATGCACCACCACACTTGGCTAATTTTTGTATTTTTTTGTAGAGCCAGGGTTTCGCCATGTTGTCCAGGCTGGTGTGGAACCCCTGGGCTCATGTGATCCACCCACCTCAGCCTCCCAAAGTGCTGGGATTACAGATGTGAGCCACTGTATCAGCTAAATGCATTATTTTCGAAGGCTTTAAATAGAAAAGTTAAAGACTGAGACAGGTTGATTGTCATTACCATCTACTTTGCAGAGTTGTCACAGGATTTCGAAAGAATATGCTCAACATACAGTAGTAAGTGCTTAACTAAATGTAGCTTTCCCTCTCATACCAGTCACCTCCAGCACCTCTTTTCTGCTTTCCCAAGAGCTTACAGTCATTTAAACTTTCCCATGACCAATAGGCTTCTCCAGACCTCCTCAGATTATTTTGCCTTAAATAATCTCCAATACTGTTCTCTAATCACCTTCAATACCCTTGTGACTTTTTTCATTCATTCAACCTACCATACTGTATTACCATCACCACTGTAATTTTATTGCCAGTCCTTGGTTCAATTAAATTAACATTTTTTGCATATTTATATTTGTAGTATTTATTATATGATTAGCACCTTATTAATACAAGGTTAATATTAATTTATACCCTTTACCTTCAATATGGCCCTTCCTTTGCCTTAGAAATTTTAAAATATATTCCTCTGTTATTAGGCTATCTCACTGTAGTTATTTTATGTTCTCTCCCCTCAAGCCTTCACTCCTAACTTCCCCATTCTTACCTAAGGACAATTTGTTTTCTGGGATTTTCCTGCTGAAATTCACTAAATAACCATCTTTTCAGATGGAAGCACTATATCTATCTTTGTATCTATCTCTTCTTTCTTCTAGCTATTCTTAAGAGAAGAAAACATGGCTCTTTTCCAAAGATAGATCCTTTACCTCAAAAAAAAAATTCCATCTAGCCTTTCAAAAAGACTTACGCCCTCCCACAGCACCTCCTCCAGGATCTTTAACTGCCCCTTTGCAATTGCCTGCTTCTCTTCTGACTTTGAGCATCAGCAGACCAATCTTCCCTACCTTAACACAAATGTAAACCAAATCATCCTATTTCTATTCTTCCATTCAATGCCAAATATTGAAAATAAGTGATCTGTTGCCTCCATTTTCTAAATACCCATTTACTTGTTAACTTCTTGTACTCTGTAGTTTGTCCCCATAAATGTGTACTTTCAAAGGTAACTAACCTTCTAGACAAATCCAAATGGCTCTCTCAATCCATCTTTGACCACTAAAAAAAGTTATCATCACTAACCAAAGTGACAACAAAAGCTAAAGACAAATCTATCTTCTATATGAAGCCTCTAATTGTCCATGTGTCCCCATTTATTACATACCACTTAGGCTTTGAGTGCTTTAAGAATCTTCTGAACTCAGTTCAATTAACCCCTTCGCCTCCTGGAAATTTTCTTTGCTTCTATGAAACCATACCTTGAATTTTCTTCCCTATGGCTTTCCTTCCTTTTCTGATTCATTTAAAGTAGTTTAATACGACATGTAAGTTTCTACGCAGTGATTTCATGTCTACCAAATCCATTTCATTTCAAATTAAATCAAACCTGACACATCTTCACTACTATATCCTCCAAATGTGATTTCACTCAAATCTTTGAGAAATTCAAATCTGCTTTTCTTAGAATACTACAAATTATTTAACATTTTTTTCTTACTAATGGTATAAAATAAAGATATAAAGCCCAATTTCCCACTACCTTAAGATCATTTAGCCTCTTAGTGCCCTTCTTGAAGTCTTCAACCTAAGGTATACTAAGAAAGTAATAGCTTAAGTCTCTACTTAACGATGTATATCCCCTATCAGTAGCCCTGGGAACTTTGGTCATTACTAACAAATTTCTATTAATCTCAAAAATCATACAGATCTTTGTCATATTTCCCCCCCTCCTTCCCCAGGAACTTATTTCAAAGTATTCTGTGCATTCCACCTAATAGCTATCAAGTATACCTTGATAAAAGTTCTCTTATTCTCTATCATTCAATAAAATTTCTTTGATTAAGGTTTAGATGTATATTTCATCATTCTTCACACATCATATTCCCTAAAGTTCATTCTATTTTAAAAACTAAACTTTTTTAAGGATCAAGAAAAGACACTGTGTGTCTTGCCATTTATCTTCAAGAACATAAAACTGGGTTCTGTTAGAATCTACTATAATCCAACAGGTACAACATGGGTACTCATTTTTGAACCAAAAATGTTTATATTTGTTATCTCACATTCCTTTGTACTGTATCTCATTTAGGCAGAAATAGCTATTCATCATCAAATACTCATCTTCAGAGATTAAAGAAGAGCACAAAATTTTTCAAATATAGCAGCATTTTAATCAAATCATACAATTAAATGTGAAGTAACTGGCGCTCTCACACACTGCTAAAAGGAGTAGAAATTGGAACAACAAATTTGAAAAACCATAAGGCATTACTGCTAAAGTTGAACATACATATTTCTATGACCAGTTTTTCCACTTCCAGAAATACAAACTTGACAGAAACGTGGGCACATGTGCACCGAAAGATGGGTGTAGGAATGTTCATATCAGTATTATTCATAATAGTGCAAAACTAAAAACATCCATCATACATTAGAATCAACAGCAATGAGAATGAATAAACTCTTCCTATATAGAAAAATACAGATTAGGCCAGGCACGGTGGCTCACACCTGTAATCCCAACACTTTGGGAGGCCGAGGCGGGCAGGTCAGGAGGTCAAGAGATCGAGACCATCCTGGCCAACATGGTGAAACCCCGTCTCTACTAAAAATACAAAAATTAGCTGGGCGTGGTGGCAGGTGCTTGTAAGCCCAGCTACTTGGGAGGCTAAGGCAGGAGAATCACTTGAACCTGGGAAGTGGAGGTTGCAGTGAGCCGAGATTGCACCACTGCACTCCAGCCTGGCGACAGAGCAAGACTCTGTCTCAAAAAAAAAAAGAAAAACACAGATTAGTCTCACAAAAATAATGTTACTCGAGGAACACTTATTATATGATTTCATTTAATAAAGTTCAAAAATAGGCAGACCTAATCTATGGTTTTTAGACATCAAGATAATGGTCACCCTATTATCTTGGGAATACAGAATACAGAAAGGGAATAACTAGAAAAGAATATAAGGAAAGCTTTCAGGGTGCCAATAACAATACTGATTTCAATAAACACTCACCAAAGCAGAATAAGTGTGTTCATATATTGGAATATGTAGTGAATTCACTAAATTATGAAACCCATGAAATAAAGCATTCCCTAATATTAGAAACCCCGGGCAACTCAGTTTCTCTGTACCTCCGTTGCTTCAACTGTAAAACAGACTACACCAAGTCTGTAATCTTAAATTCCTAGATTTTTTTTTTTTTTTTAGGAAAAGGTACTCAGTTCCTTAAATGGAAGAAAAAAATTTTAGTGACTATTTGATTGCCATTTTAAAGATAAACATTGCAAAGACAGAATCAAAAAATATCATTTTTTCCTTCCTCTTACAAAGGAACAAGATACATCAGCAGTTATCTTTCAGAACCATAGTTACTGATTTCCAATAGAATAAAATTGAATATTCTTTATACTGCTACTGATTAGTAAGTAAACTAATATGAAAAGACCACTAGACAAGAAAGGTCATCTTTTTTCTGGTTTCAAACTATGTCCCTTTATAGCAATAACAATGTTTAAAATTACTAGTTTTAAAATGTTTTGAAATATAGTAAAAATCAAACAAAAACCAAACTTAATATTTGCTTGGTTAACTTCATAATGCCAAATTGTAACAGAAACATCAGTATCTGACAGCTATTTTAGAAATAATAGCTAGTAATGACTGAACTATAACTTCTACTTATAAGCACCATTAAATGAGAAGCCTCATTAAAAATTATAAATTATCAGGCTCCCTTACAAGCTAATAACTGAAAAGAATGCTACTCTCCTGAGAATATCAAGATTATAAAACTTTTGTATTCTGCACCATCACCCAATACTATATATATCCATTCAATATTATATTGATTTATTTCTCTCAAATTTTCATATTTAATATAATCCATTATGAAAATATTCAAATAAACTTTCAAAAACTGAAGTGCATTGTTAAAAAAGATCATTTCACCAGTTTTTCTAACATAAATATGAAGCTTGCTTCTTCCTCTCAAATAACACAATATGAATATGTCATTGTATGGTATCACACTTCTAGCTAAACCTATTCTAAGGCGCTTATCATTCAGATAAAGGTAGACTTCTTCTGAAGCACTTGTCCAGGGATGGTGTTCAAAACTTGTTTTCTTGCCAAATCTTTCCTTTCCCTCATCTTCTTCATCTCAGTAAATCACACACCACTATCTATCTAGTTTCTCAAGCCAGGAACCAGGAAATCATTTTTGACACTTTTCTTCTCACATCCAATCCATCATGAATCTGTCAGTTGTTCCTCCTCCACACCTCACCATCTCCTCTCTAAAATATATGTATAATCTGGCTACCATCATGTTTTTCCTGGACTACTGTAGTATTACAATATCTTTACTTTCACCCTTGCCTTTCTCCAATCCATTCTCAAAGTAGCATTTTTAAAATGTAGATTAAAGCGTATCACTTCTCTAATTCAAAATCTTCAACGACTGCAATGTCTTTAGTAAAACCTGTAAGTCTTTAATATGCCCCACAAGGCCCTGTATAATCTGCTTTCTATCTCTCATTTCAGCTCATATGGTTTTCTGCCTTATTATGCTTCTGCCATCCTGAACTTTTCATTTCTTTCAAATATTAAGTTCTTTCCTGTGTCATAGCCTTCAAACATATTTTTCTCTCTTCCAAGAAACTCTTTTCTCTCCTGACCTGTCTTCTTATTCTGTTTCCACTTAGAATCACCAACTGAGGGAAGCCTTCTCTGAGAATACAACATTAATTTCTCCCCATTTTCTCCACCATAGCACTCTGTTCTTTTATTTCACTGAACTGATCATAAGTTGTAATTTTCCATTTGTTTATTTACTTGTTCTTTATCTGTTTGCACTGTTAGATGGTAGGTTCCATGAAGGCAGGGATCACTTATTATGCACTTAATACATATATCATAAATTAAGGGAGCACTTCATAATATATACATTTAATGAATAAATGGATGTGAATGACTTTGAGTCCAGAGAATAAATTACAGTTCAAAGTGGTTTCCCCTTCTTTGGGTCTCCCATTGTCACTTGATCAGCTTTCCAACTGTTTCTAAAAGAAAGGAATAAAAATTGTTTCTGAAAGCTTAAAGACAATACAGTAGAGGAAATGTCAGGAAGTTGTACATGGTATGCCAAATAAGTGCAACAAATAATTATACTAAGATCTCATGGGAAGGAGAAATCCCTAAGGGCTACAAGGACAAGATACGATTTTATTCACAAGGTGGAATTTGACCTGAGTATTCACAGACTGGTAAAATTCCAAGAGGTGGAAAAGTAAGGGAGTGAAGCCCAAATAAGGAAGTAAACAGAGGCACAAAGTGCTAGGGAACAGTTATAAAACTGGAATGTGGCACTTTAAATTTACAACGTAAATAAGTGTAAAAAAGCTAAATCTTATATAAGAAATCTATATCCCACGTTAAGACAACTTCAAAGAATTTGAAAGGTTAAAATAACTCTATCTCATCAGTATCCATAAATCTCTTCTGACTCCAATCTTTGGCTTCTGAAGTTTTCCAAGCACTTACAACATGCTTCCATTAGTTTTTACTCTGACCAACTGCCTCAAGTTTCCATATTCTTACCTGTGTTTTTTATTCACTCATTACCCGATGAAATTTCCCCAGTAGATTAATTCATAGTTTTTCTTTATAGACTCTCTAGGATTTCATTTTTCTTCTCTGTTATTTACGGAGGTAAGCTTTTTTTTCTATGACATTTCGATCAATAAACACATCTTTAGAAAATCTTAACTTTTCATATGTACCAAAATTTTGTTTTACTATTGATAGATGCAATAGATTTTACTTTAAAATCTGTATTTCTACTTCAGTTCTTGCCTCTTATATTCATATATCGAGCCCCTCCTTCAGCTCTATCCTGTTTCCAGAGGTAAACCAGGAAGGTCTAGCACAGTGCCTTGTAGAAAGCATTCGGTTGCATTAGATAAGAAGTTTGTAATTAAAGTTTCTAAAGATACTTCCAAGTTGAAAATTCTATGGTTTCCTTAATCTTATCTTGTCACGGGCTTTTTCCATGGACACCGTTTTCTATCTGTATTCATATCTGCCCACCCCATAAGTTTTTGATTTCAGAGGATAGACCTCATAGGGTACTTAGAATCCTACAATAGTAAAACTGGAGGAAACAAAGTTTTACACAGGAGGAAACTAAGGCTCACGGATGTCAAGAAACTTAATATTATCTACACAGTTAAGTGACAAAGTCCCGATTCTCTCTAGCCAGCACTCTATCCAAGAAGAGGATTTTACTGGTTATAAAAGCATCATAATTTTTTTTTTCTTAATAGAGACGGGATGCAGTCTTAATAAGTTGCCCAGGCTGGACTTGAACTCTTGGCTCAAGTGATTCTCCTGCCTCAGCCTCCCTATTAAGAGCCGCCCCCGATTAAAGTAGCCTGCTCATACACCTTACTTAGTATGTTTTTGACTAGCATTGCTTTTATCTGATGTTATTTCCTGTGCCTTTAGGATATCATCTCCTGGTCAATTAATCACAAGGGTTTTTTGTTGTTGCTGTTTTTAACTGCAATACTATACATACTTACCTGAAACTGTTCAGGAATGACAGTTACCCTTAATCAAAACTGGGAGGCAACCACTTTTCCCAATGCACTTCAGGTCTGTAATACAGACTTCACGTCTACATTATATGGTCTATAGTTTATAGGAAACTCTCCAAGGACAGAGACCTGCCAATACTTTGTGGTAAACTATAACTACATAACGTGAATTTTTAAAGCAATAGAAGAAACGGCCGGGCGTGGTGGCGCGCACCTGTAATCCCAGCTACTGGGGAGGCTGAGGTTGGAGAACTGCTTGAACCTGGGAGGAAGAGGTTGCAGTGAGCCGAGATGGCGTCACTGCGCTCCAGCCTGGGTGACAGAGCGAGACTCCGTCTCAACACCAAAAAAAAAAAAAAAAAAAAAAAAAAAGCAGAATTAGAAGAAATGGAAAGTCTTCGAAGATACATAATACAGACAGAACTTGCTTCGAGCAATAGAAGTCTTTTATTTAATACTTATCAAATATCGAACGTAAGGCTCCATGTGGCCTGTTGTTACAACACAGCATCTCTAAATTCACGTTCTGTAAACCCAAGGGAAAAGAAACACTATGATCATCCTTTTGCATTGCAAAAAACAAAAACAAACTCCTCCCTCTGCAATGCAGAATCCTCCTTTAAGTTCAGCTTTTGTATATTCAAGTGTTTGCAGACCTAGTGGTTCTTTTAAAACTACTTCTACAGTTATCTAGAGTCTAGGGAATGGGTAACATTACACAAGATAAGCCTTCTTTTCGTTTAAGATCATAGCTGGTTAAGTAGAACTGGAGATTTTAAGAACTGGAAAAAAGGAAAAGGTGAAAAGTAGCATACAAAATTGAGAAACTAAATTCTGACGGTAATTTTATTAATGAAAATAAACTTTATTTAATACAGGGGAATTCTTAGGTATGAATATTTCACATAAATAAATGTCACAATAGCGTCAAATCCCAGACTTTCAGGAAAGTAACTGTAGCACTGTTAATATCACAACAACAACAACAAAATTCTCATCTACTTTGTTCTGAAAAGTTTTATTTTTCTTAAAAAAGAAAAAAAAGCAAACCACCCCCCCCAAAAAAAATTTTTTTTAAAAATAAAAATAAGAACAAACAGAAACCAGTCTGAGCTGGCAGCTGTGACAGCCAGTGAGACACCCGGGCTTTCCGGGTAGTGCTTGGCTTTGGGCTGGATGTCCACGCAGAGAGCCCTGGAGCCATCCCGCAGGTCCCACACCCAGGTACCCAGAAAATGACGGCGGCCGCACACACGGGGGCTGGCGGGGTCCGGGCCACGCTGCAGACGGGGAGAGGCACTCGGGGTGAAGGATCGCGGGGAAGGCACTGCGGTCGGAACCGAGAGGCAAGGCCTGGGAAAGCGCCGGGGACGTCCCGTGCTCCGGGACGTCGGGTGCCCGCGCGGGACGCCCTGTCATGACTCACGGAGGCGAGAAAGCACGGGCAGGGAAAGAGGCTGCAGGATGGAGGGAAGCCCGACCGTCGGGAGGGAACCCAACCCGGGGGAGGCCCCGACCTCGCGCGGGACGGGGAAGAGGGCCCGCCTTCCCACGCCCTGGCCGCCCGGCCCTCACCTCCACACGACGCAACAGGCGCGGCTGCCGTGTCCCGACCCCGGGGGCTGTGGGCCGGGGGGCGGGGGCAGCAGCCCGCAGCCATGACAGGCGCGGGGCGGGCCGCGGGCGGGCTGGGCCGCACGTGCAGGCAGCGCCCCCTGCCCGGCCTCCCCGCGGGCCCGCCCGCCCGACCCCGGCCCCGGGACCGGATCCCTCACCTCAGGCGGGGGCGCCGCCCCGCCTGCCCCTCCCCCCTCCCCCCACCGGCCGAGCAGCGGCGGCGGCGGCGGCGGCGGCTGCACGTACTCACCGCCGCTCGCTGACTCTCGCGCTTCGCCATGACTGAGGCGCCCCCGCCGCCCCCCGCCTCGACTGAGACTGACACTCGCGGCTGGCCGGGCGGGGGCGGCCTCAGGCGACCACCCGTCTGACACGACCCGCCCCCGCATCTCCCCACCAGTTGAGCAGCGGCCGCTGCCCCGCGGTGCCCCCGGGCTTCCTCCCCACGCCCGAGGCGGTGGGTGGCAGCGGCGGCGGCGGCGGCACTTACCGGCTGCGCGGCCAGGCCCCCCTGTCAGCGCGGGGCAGGGAGGGAGTGGAGGGAGGAGTGAAGGGGCACCGCCTCCCCCGCGCCGCCACGCACCCGCCTGATTGGCCCAGTTCACTCCCCCAGCGCGACCCCACCAGCCCCTGCGAGCGGCACTCCGGCAGCACCGGCGCGCTATTTGCATATTTGTGCCCGCGCCGCTGATTGGCCCGGGCGCGGAGGGGCGGTCGTGACCGCCGCCGCTCCTGCCGCGGCTCCAGCCGCGTCGGGCTGCCTAAGAGGGAGCGTCCCCTTCGCCGCTCCCCTTCCCTCCTGGCGCGGCCCGACCCAGGGCGGAGGGCGGTGCGAGGCGGGGTCGTTGCTCCGCTCCAACATGGCCCCGCCGCGCCGCCGACCCAATCGCTGGCGCGGTTACTCCCGGAGCCCTGGGCGGCCTCGGGGCGGGGAAGGCTTGGGGCCGGGCGCCCTCTGGCCGGAGCGCGGGGCAGTGCAGTGGTCCGGGCTCCCCCGGCAGCCCCGCCGCGGCCGCCACGTCAGGCCGCGCCCTCACGGCGGCCTCTCCCCTCGCGCCGCCCGCCCCGCGGCCCCGCCGCCACGTCAGGCCCCGGCAGGGCACGCCCCAGCCGCGAGCTGACCAGTGGCGGGGTCGGCGCAGAGGTCACTCACATGCAGGGCATCTCTCGGGCAGCTCGGGTCCGCCGAGGAAGGGCGAGAGTTTCCAAAGACGTCCTTCTTAAGGAGCCGTGGATTTAGTCCCACGTTCTCCTTTCGCGCGGAGACCCGGGTGTCACGCGCCCGTGCTGTAGAATCGGGAGCACGGAGCGTGTCGCGATGATGCTGCGATTGAGCCCAGGTGCCAGCACCTGCAGTAGCCGGCGCCCGCCGCGGAGACCCAGCTCCACGCCGCGAGCTAGGGGAGAGCGCGCACCTAGCCTGCGGTTGCAACCCTGTCTTCCCGAGGCTCAGGCTCCCGTTCTCCATTGCACAGTTACGAAGGGAGAGAAAAATAAACGCAAGAATTTAAGAAGAGAGAGAGACAGCCGTGGGGGAGGGTGATACTGGTTTAGGAGCAGGGGGCGTACTGGAAAACCTGGGTTCCCTCTCGATCCTTCACGAATTAACTGAGTGACCTACATCAAATCCTAGCGTGTCCTAGGGCCTTGGTTTTGCCTTCTGTAAAAGGAAGAGGCTGCACAAGTTGTCCAAAAGTCCTCCAGCTCTAAAATTCTAAGGGTCTCCTCCTTTCAGGTCCTTAGCTGGCTTTCTACCGAATTAAAAATTTAAAACCCATATGAAAACGTGAGCTAGACAAAAGAATTAAATGTTTGAACTTCGGTCGGCCTACTTTATGTTTGTTCAAAACTGTTGACCATTTCCGATCCAGTGCAGGTGATATTTCACGTTCACAGTTGACAGAAATCTCTTGAATTTCAGCCTCCGCTAAGGAGCGACACTGCGCTTGTTTATGCCTAGCCAGAATGGAATGGCTGCGGTATACACAGTGGTATTTGCCAAGTAATTTCATTCTTTATATTCCCCATGAAGGCCCTCCAGAGTGGATCAGCATAACTCTATTTAGCTGAGATACTGACAGGGCTGGGAAGAAACCCTGCTGAAAGGGCGGTTACAGTTCCAACTTTGATTCCCTGAAGGATACTTATAACAACCACATATTAGACCAAGAATGCACAGAAAGAGTTTATCTCTGGGGCCCCCCACACCACTTATTTGGATAGTGCTTTAGTTTGCAAATTCAACTTGTTGAGTCAAATTTAAGGCCAGTAACATCTCATCTATCTGACATCACAGCAGAATGACATCCCACTTAAATGAAAAACTTGAGCGGCCTCCCCATCATCTGATAGAGAACGTTCGTGTTTTCTTGAATGCAGCCCTCTGAAAATTACTTAGGCTTGGTCATTAAAGAGCAGTGCTATAATTATCAACATTATTGTATGCCATTTTAATCAGTGAATGTTCTCTAAAATATGCAAAATTTGTCCCTATAATAAATGGCCTCTAGGATGCTGGTTTTTGTGTTTTTGTTTTGTTTTGAACTTCTGTTTTTGCTATCTCCTTCCTCACTACTGGGCTGACACTTCTCTATTCTTCTACCTAACAACCTTCTTTCCTACTTTTTTGATGCGTCTATGCCATTATGAACTTGGACATCGATAAACTTTTATTAGCTTAGACTCTCAGGTTTTGTAGAAAGATTTTCTGTGGGGTTCTCCTGTGTTAAGTACATAAGTTCTTGTGACATTTATTTTCACTGGTCAGTGAATGGTGTTCACTTCTGTCTTAAATTTTGGAGGTATTCTCAGTAACTGTGGTTTCTGAATATGGGGACTCTGGGAAAATGTTGCAGAGGTTGGCTCTGAATCTCAGAATTTAGGGGTCAAATTAGTAAATATTACATTTTGCAATTGAAGTTAGCAAGAATCAATATCACGAACAACATCAAAATCTAGCAACACTGGCCTACCATTTCCACCAGGCAATGGGCTGTCTAAAGCCAAGCGGTGGCCACACTCTCTAGGTCCCTCAATCCCACTCCAGAGTAAGAATGTCTCCATTCCGGGCCAGGCGTGGTGGCTCAAGCCTGTAATCCCAGCACTTTGGGAGGCTGAGGTGGGCAGATCACCTGAGGCCAGGAGTTGGAGACCAGCCTGACCAACATGGAGAAACCTCACCTCTACTAAAAATACAACATTAGCTGGGCTAGGTGGCGCATGCCTGTAATCCCAGCTACTCGGGAGGCTGAGGCAGGAGAATCGCTTGAATCTGGGAGGCAGCGGTTGCACTGAGTTGAGATGGCGCCATTGCACTCCATCCTGGATGACAGAACGAGACTCCGTCTTAAAAGAAAAAAAAAAATGTCTCCATTCCTACTCAATGTCTTTCCAATTAAAGAGGCCCTGTTATCTGGACACAGGGATTTGGGTATCCAGAAAGCCTGTGCTATGACGGAGTGGCTCTCCTCACCTTGAAAGAAACATCCTACAATAGATACGTTTACTGAAATTTAGTCCCAAGCAATGTGTTAAAGGTTTATATTTTGTTATTTCATTTTATCTTCACAACCACTCTATGAGAAAGGGCTTTTTTTTTTTTTTTTTTTGACAGAGTCTCACTCTGTCGGCCAGGCTGGAGTGCAGTGGAATGATCTCGGCTAACTGCAATCTCCACCTCCCGGGACACCAACCTCCACCTCCCAGGTTCAAGCACTTCTCCTGCCTCAGCCTCCCGAGCAGCTTGGATTACAGGCCTGCACCACTACACCCAGCTAATTTTTGTATTTTTAGCAGAGACGGGGTTTCACCATGTTGGCCAGGCTGGTCTTGAACTCCTGACCTCAAATGATCCACCCACCTCAGCCTCTCAAAGTGCTGGGATTACAGGTGTGAGCCACTGTGCCCGTTGAGAAAGGGATTCCCCCCCGCCCCCATTTTACAGATAGTCTAAAATCTTGCCCTGGTTACACAGTCATTGAGTGGCAGAAACAATATTCACACTTAGAACTGTCTGGCCCCAAAGGCTATAACTTGTAACCATTATACTGTATTCTTCCCCTCAGCCTGAGTTTCCAATTCCATGTTTATCAGGCATGTCTATTTTAGTAACTAATTTGGCATCTTGGAATGGAAAATTCCCTATATAAGCATTTTGGTTTAGGTCACCAAAAGAATATCTGACAATGTAAATTTGTGGAGTTTTCCTGCAAGTTTGAGGAATATGAATCAATGCTGTAGTACCTGTTCACTTCTGGAGAAAACTTATACAATCAAGATCCTGAAACTAGCTGGATGTGGTGGCTCACACCTGTAATCCCAGCACTTTGGGAGGCCAAGGCAGGTGGACTGCTTGAACCCAGGAGCTTGAGACCAGCCTGGGCAATATGGTAAAACCTTATCTCTGCAAAACAATAGAAAGAGAAAAATTCGCTGGGCATGGTGGCATGTTCCTGTAGTCCCAGCTACTAGGGAGGCTGAGTTGGGAGGATCACTTGAGCCCAGGAGGTTGAGGCTGTAGTGGGCTGTGATCACGCCACTGCACTCCAGCCTGGGTGAAAAAGTGAGACCTGGCTGGGTGCGGTGGCTCACACCTGTAATCCCAGCACTTTGGGAGGCCGAGGTGGGTGGATCACCTGAGGTCAGGAGCTCAAGACCAGCCTGACCAATATGGGGAAACCCCGTCTCTACTAAAAATACAAAAATTAGCTGGGTGTGGTGGCACATGCCTGTAATCCTAGCTACTCGGGAGGCTGAGGAAAGAGAATTGCTTGAACCTGGGAGGCGGAGGTTGCAGTGAGCCGAGATCGTGCTACTGCATTCCAGCCTGGGTGACAGAGTGAGACTCCATCAGAGAAAGAAAAGGAAAGAAAGAACGAAAGAAAGAATGAATGAATGAACGAAAGGAAGGAAGGAAGGGAGAAAAGAGAGAGAAACCCTATCTCAAAAAAAAAAAAAAAAAAAGGATCCTGAAACTGCAAAACTAAGGTTTAGATCCTACCTCAGTGAGACCTGCAAAAGTGATACCCACAGAATAGTCAAAAGAGGAAAGTTGGAGAACTCACACTTCCTGATTTGAAAACTTAATACAAAGGTATAATAATCAAGACAGTGTGGAACTGGCATAAGGATAGGCATATGGATTAATGGAATAAACTATAGAATCCAGAAATAAACTCTTACATTTATGGTCAATTGATGGTCAATTGATTTTCAGTAAGAATGCCAAGACATTTAGATTGGGAAAGAGTAGTCCTTTAAACCAATGGTGGGACTGCTGGATACACACATACTAAAGAATGAAGTTGGACCACTACCTCACACCACACAAAACAATAAACCAAAAGGGACCACACACCTAAATGTAAGAGGTAAAGCTATAAAACTCTAAGAGGAAAAATAGAAGTAAATCTTTAGGATCTTGGATTAGGCAATGATTTCCTTCATATGACACCAAAAGCATAAATGACAAAAGAAAATATAAACTAGACTTCATTAAAATTAAAAACTTTCATACAAGAAACCACAAAAAGTAGATTAAACTTCATCAAAATAGAAAACCTTTTCAGTGTCAAAAGACACTGTTAAGAAAGTGCAAAGAAAGACAAAACAGAATGAGAGAAAATATTTGCAAATAAATTACAGATGCTCCTCAACTTACAATGAAGTTTTGTCCTGATAAACCCATTTTAAGTTGAAAATACTGTTAAGTTGAATATGCAGCTAATACACTTAACCTACTGAACATCATAGCTTAGTCTAGCCTACCTTAAATGTGCTCAGAACATTGACTGTAGCCTACAGTTGGGCAAAATCATCTGGCAACGCAGTCCATCATACAGTATGGGTTGTTTGTCTTTGTGATCATGTGGCTGACTGAAAGCTAAGCCATCATGAGAGATTATCTACTATATATCTCTAGCCTGGGAAAAGATAAAAATTCAAAATTCAAAGTACAATTTCTACTGAATGGGTATCACCTTAGCACCACTGCAACGTCAAAAAATCTTAAGTCAGCTGGGCGCAGTGGCTCATGCCTGTAATCCTGGCACTTTGGAAGGCCGAGGCAGGTGGATCACCTGAGATCAGGAGTTCGAGACCAGCCTGGCCAACATGGTTAACCAGCTTGGCCAACCCCATTGCTACTAAAAATACAAAAAATAGCCAGGCATGTTGGCACGTGCCTATAATCCCAGCTACTCGGGAGGCTGAGGCAGGGGAATTGCTTGAACCCAGGAGGTGGAGGTTGCAGTGAGCTGAGATTGCGCCACTGCACTCCAGCCTAAGTGACAGAGTGAGACTCCATCTCAAAAAAAAAAAAAAAAAAAAAAATCCTAACTTGAACCATGATAAGGTAAGGACAGTCTGTATCTGATAAGGGTTTAGTGTACAGAATATATAAAGAGCACTTACAACTAAACAACAAAGACATAAATAATCCAATTAAAAAGTGGTCACAGTATCTGAGTAGACATTTCTTCAAAGAAGATCTACAAATAGCCAATATGCACATGAAAAGATGCTCAACACATTAGTTGTTAGAGAAATGCAAATCAAAACCACAATGAGATACCACTTCACTCTCATCAGGATGGCTACAATAAAAAAGACAAACAATAGTAAGTGTGATATGGTTTGACTGTGTCCCCACCCAAAACTCGAATTGTAGCTCCCATAATTCCCACGTGTAGTGGGAGGGCCCCAGTGGGAGGTAATTAAATCATGAGGGTGGGTCTTTCCCATGTTGTTCTCGTGATAGTAAGTCTCACGAGGCTGGGTGTGGTGGCTCACACCTGTAATCCCAGCACTTTGGGAGGCCGAAGAGGGCAGATCACCAGAGATCAGGAATTCAAGACCAACCTAGCCAACATGGTGAAACCCCCATCTCTACTAAAAATACAAAAAATTATCAGGGCATGGTGGTGGCACCTGTAATCTCAGCTACTTGGGAGGCTGAGGCAGGAGAATTGCTTGAAACCAGGAGGCAGAGGTTGCAATGAGCCAAGATCATTGCCACTGCACTTCAGCCTGGATGACAGAGCGAGACACCTTCTCCAAAAAAAAAAAAAAAAAAAAAAAAAAATTAAGTCTCACCAGATCTGATGGTTTTATAAAGGGGAGTTTCCCCAACACATGCTCTCTCTCTCGCCTGCCACCATGTAAGATGTGACTTTGCTACTCCTTTGCCTTCTGCCATGATTGTGAGGCCTCCCCAACCCTGTGGAACTGTGAGTCTATTAGACTTCTTTTTCTTTATAAATTACCCTACTCAGGTATGCCCTTATTAGCAGCATGAGAACAGAGTAATACAAAGTGTAATTGAAGATGCAGAGAAAGTAGAACCCTCGAACCCTGGTACACTGCTGGTGGGAATGTAAAATGATGGTTGTTTTGGAAAACAGTTCTTCAAAAAGTTAAACATAGTTACCATATAACCCAGCAACCCAAGAGAAATTAAAACATATGTCCATACAAAAACTTACATACAAATGTTCACAGCAGTATGATTCACAATAGCCCAAAAGTGGAAACAACCCAAATGTCTATCAGCTGATGACTGGATAAACAAAAATGGCATATACACAAACTGGAATGTTATTCAGCCATAAAAAAAGATTAAGTACTGATAGTACAACACAGATGAACTTTGAAAACATAATGCTAAGTGATAAAAGCCAGATACATCCCCTAGTAAGCCAACTCAGAAGACAGAATTATTACACAAAGATGTTTAATTTTAAAAAAATTAGGCCGGGCGTGGTGGCTCATGCCTGTAATTCCAGCATTTTGGGAGGCCGAGGTGGGCAGATCACTTGAGGTCAGGAGTTCGAGACCAGCATGGACAACATAGTGAAACCCTGTCTCTACTAAAAATACAAAAATTTGCCAGGCGTTGTGGTGTGCATCTATAATCTCAGCTACTCAGGAGGCTGAGGCAGGAGGATCGCTTGAACCCAGGAGGCAGAGGTTGCAGTGAGCTGAGATACAGCCACTGCATTCTAGCCTGGGTGACAAGAGCAAAACGCTTGTCTCAAAATAATAATAATAATAATGAAAATTAAAAAATAAAAAGTATGAAAGCCAGATACAAAAGGCTTGACTGTTTGATTATATTTATATGAAATGTCCAGAATAAAGTAAGAAAGTAGACAGAAAGTAGATTAGTGGTTGCCTAGGACTGACATGGGAGAAGGGGGATGAAGAATGGAGAGTGACTGCTAATAGCTATGTACAGGGTTTCTTCTGGGGGGCAATAAAATAGTTTTAAAATTAGATTGTGGAGATACTTGCACAACTCTGAATACACTAGAAACCACTGAAGTATAAATTTTATCAAGTATAAAACTATCTCAATAAAGCTGGTTAAAAAAAAAAAAAAGTGATTCCAGGCCGGGCGTGGTGGCTCACACCTGTAATCCCAGCACTTTGGGAGGCCAGGGCAGATGGATCACCTGAGGGTGTGAGTTCGAGACCAGCTTGGCCAACATGGTGAATCCCCATCTGTACTAAAAATATAAAAATTAGCTGGGTGTGGGCCGGGCGCGGTGGCTCACTCCTGTAATCCCAGCACTTTGGGAGGCCGAGGTGGGTGGATCACGAGGTCAGGAGATCAAGACCATCCTGGCTAACACAGTGAAACCCTGTTATCTACTAAAAATACAAAAAAAAAAAAAAAATTAGCCGGGCGTGGTAGCGGGCGCCTATAGTCCCAGCTACTCGGGAGGCTGAGGCAGGAGAATGGCATGAACCCAGGAGGCAGAGCTTGCAGTGAGAGGAGATCGCTCCACTGCACTCCAGCCTGGGCGACAGAGCGAGACTCCGTCTCAAAAAAATAAAAATTAGCTGGGTGTGGTGGTGCACACCTGTAATCCAAGCTACTCAGGAGGCTAAGGCAAGAGAACTTCTTGAACCTGGGAGGTGGAGTTTGCAGTGAGACAAGATTGTGCCACTGTACTCCAGCCTGGGCCACAGAGTGAGACTCTGTCTCAAAAAAAAAAAAAAAAAAGGGATTCCCAGCCAGCAATTTCCAACTTTGTTACAGTATTGTACGCATTAAATCCACATATATGAATCTAACATATGAACACGTTGAGACAAAAAGATAATATTTTAATTATATTCATAAAATTAGTTCCGCAGTAAATAATTTTTAAAGTTTGAAGATTGTTGTAGTGGCACTGTCATTTCTTATATTGGGCTCACCAGTTTTGTGACTTTGTTATAATTTACTTAATTTACACATATTTAAATACTTACACCATGTATGTATACTAGGGTAGGTGCTGTGTTGGCTACAGAAGAGATTATTATTCCCGTATAAATAATAATACATTATGAATAATAAACATATAATAAATATTGAACAAGTGTGTGTATATGAAATACCTTCTCACTCATCTTTATTGACATCCATTCACAGGCTGAGGCATTAATGAAAATGTTCTTTCACTGATCAATAAGTACTGACAAACATTAAAGTATGTTTTTTCATCTTTTACACATTTTATGCAGATTCATAACTTAAATGTTTTATGCTCCATTACATTATAGACTCTAACATGATTTTTGTCTCTCAGCACTAATGAATAGTAGGTTGAAGAGCTCAGATACTTTTCCACTCTAGGAAAAGACTCTGAAAGGAACTTCAGTTGATTCAGCAGTAAGTGAAAATGAACTCCACATTAGCCCCTGGGAGTTGTGAAATTTCCTTAACTCGGTGAAGAACACAGGTTCTTTTTAGAACAGGACTGAAGGATATCACTAGAAAGTTCTTTAGACTTCTTTTTCAGGCTCTTGTTCAAGCAAACAGAAATGAGGGCTAGGTATGCTTTCAGGTGTAGCTAGCTTAAAGTACCTCAAAGATCATTTAAAAGCATGCTCAGCACTGTTCTCAAATCTAGAGGCAGCTGGTAATAACAACATCCAAGGGATATGTTCAGCCAGAGAGCTGTTCTTCAGATTCTCACTTGTAGGCCCACTTAATCAGGGTCAGGTCTTAGAGTCTCCAAGTTTTATCTAGTTTATCCCCTGCTTTTAGCTAGAATATACTTCAAAGCATGATCCTACTTTACAGTTCAAATCTTAACACTGTTCTGCTTTTATAAACAGCTGCTTGTCCTAATCTTAAAAGGTCTTCAGGAAAAAGACGGTTTGCTGGTTTCCTTGATAAAATATCCCCGAGCATCTCATTCCTTCTCTTTGTGCATCTGTTTCTCTTTGGGTAACATAAGCACTCCTGGAGAAGTTGCATCTAAATCAAGTTTGGAGAGATCAAAAGGATGAAATGTGGCTGTTATTTAAAAAGTGAATTCACTCAGCAAGTATTTAAAGGGGATCTGTGATGTCTCAGGCACAATGCTAGGGGCTGGGAATACAACAATGAACAAGATAGATATGGTCCTCTGGCTTCATGGCCAATTATTTTCTAAAGCAAATAAACAGTAATTAATTATATTTATTAATTTGGTAACACTTAACCTTCATTTGCAGGTACTGTAATTGGTATGTTTATAGGGTTTTTGTTTGTTTGTTTTTGTTTGTTTTGAGACAAGAGTCTGGCTCTGTCACCCAGGCTGGAGTGCAGTGGCACGATCTTGGCTCACTGCAGCCTCCAACTTCCATGTTCAAGTGATTCTCCTGCCTCAGCCTCCCAAGTAGCTGGGATTACAGGCGTGCACCACCACACCCAGCTAATTTTTTGTATTTTTAGTAGAGACAGAATTTTACCATGTTGGCCAGGCTGCTCTCAAACTCCTGGCCTCAAGTGATCCACCCGCCTCAGACTCCCAACATGCTGAGATTACAGGCGTGAGCCACTGCACCTGGCCTGGTGTGCTTTAGAAAGCATGTATGACTTATACCACTTAGCCTAAGGAGTGATGGAAACTGTAAACATGTATTTTTCCAATCAACTAGTTGTTTTTTGTTTTAGTTTTTGAGATGGAGTTTCACTCTTGTTGCCCAGGCTGGAGTGCAATGGTGCGATCTCGGCTTACCATAGCCTCCGCCTCCCGGTTTCAAGCGATTCTCCTGCTTCAGCCTCCTTAGTAGCTGGGATTACAGGCATGCGCCACCACACCCGGCTAATTTTGTATTTTTAGTAGAGACGGAGTTTCTCCATGTTGATCAAGCTGGTCTCAAACTCCCGACCTCAGGTGATCCGCCTGCCTCAGCTTCCCAAAATGCTGGGATTACAGGCGTGAGCCACCACACCTGGCCCCAATCAACTGGTTTTATAGGCATTACAGGCATTTTATTTCCAGAAGAAACCCATCCTAGTGCAATTTTTTAAAAAAATTTTTTTATTTTTATTTTTTTAGAGACAGGGTCTTGCTCTGTTGCCCAGGTTAGAGAGCAGTGGTGCAATCATAGTTTGTTGCAACCTCCAAGTCCTGGGCTCAAGCGATCCTCTTACCTCAGCCTACTGAATAGCTGGGACTACAGGCATTGCCACCATGACCAGCTAATTTTTTAATTTTTTTTTTTTTGTGGAGATGGGGTCTTCCTATGTTACCCAGGCTGGTCTCAAACTCCGAGGCTTAAGCAACCCTCCTGCGTCAGCCTCCCAAAGCACTAGGATTATAGGTGTGAGCCACTACACCCAGCCTCCTGGTGCAATTTAAATCCATTTTGTCTTGTATAAGGTTCAACAAAAGAGAAAATGGCAATGGAGTTCCCTGGACATTTCTTGACTTGTTTTTGTTGTTTTGTTTTTTTTCAGTATGGAGTTTCGCTCTGGCACCCAGATTGGAGTGCAGTGGCTCAGTCTCGGCTCACTGCAACTTCTGCCTCCCAGGTTCAAGCAATTATCCTGCCTCAGCCTCCCAAGTAGCTGGGATTACAGGCATGCGCCAACACGCCTGGCTAATTTTTTATATTTAGTAGAGACGAGATTTCACCATGTTGGCCAGGCTGCTCTTGAACTCCTGATCTCAGGTGATCCACCTGCCTTGGCCTCCCAAAGTGCTGGGATTACAGGTGTGAGCCACCATGCCCAGATGACTTGTTTTTCCTTACTTGATAGCCATGCTTATAATTCTGTCACCACCTTTCTGCAATCCCATGAGCTAGCTTTCATACTCCTACTTGGATCATGGGAAGAGCTTACAAAATTCATATATTGCTGTTAGGAATAAAATAAATAACAATTATCACAATCTTGTTTTGTTTTTTTTTTAAATAACAGTGAGTTTTCTTTGCAAGTGGATTTGCAAATTTAATGTAAAAATATATAATCTTCAATAATTTTAAAATTATATTTCTTCTTCCCTCCCCAGCTTTATTGAGGTATAATTGCTATGCAGAAAACTGCACATAATTAATGCCTACAACTTGCTGAGTTTGGACATATGTGATACCATTACCATAATCCTGGTAATAAACATATTCATCGCCTCCAAAAGTTTCCTTGTGTCCCTTTTTTTCAGGTTGGGGGGCCTTCTTTAGAAAGTTTACCTTAGGCCAGGCATGGTGGCTCATGTCTGTAATCCCAACACTTTGGGAGGCTAAGGCAGGTGGATCACTTGAGGTCAGGAGTTCGAGACCAGCCTGGCCAACATGGTGGAACCCCATCTCTACTAAAAATACAAAAGTTAGTAGGCATGGTGGCGGGTGCCTGTAATCCCAGCTACGCGGGAGGGTGAGGCAGGAGAATTGCTTGAACCCGGGAGGTGAAGGTTGCAGTGAGCCGAGATTGTGCCACTGCACTCCAGTCTTGGCAACAGAGCAAGACTCTGTCAAAAAAAAAAAAAAAAAAAGAAAGTTATCTTTTTTATTGAGATGTTTTGAAGCATTCTTGTTTTATCAAGACATCATTATGATATCTAACGTAAAAGTATTTGGAGATTTTTGGAATTCTTGGACATTTTGGCTGAGGATGCGTATTAATTATAGTTGCTTTATTTGCACTAAACCCCATGGTTTTAGAGAATGAGTAACAACATGCCAACCAGGAAAATTAATTCTAGGTTATATGATTGAAAAAAATTAAGAGCAGTGGGATCTTAGAGAACATTTTGCCAAAAATAAATCAGTATAGCCTTTTTCTCTGGTTACCATTAGATGTTAAGCAGTTAGTGACCTTCCACAATTTAAGCAAAAGTCTTAAGTGGAAACAAAGAAGGGACATCTTTTTGAGACAGATTCTTGCTCTACTGCTCAGGCTGGAGTGCAGCGGTGTGATCTCGGCTCACTGCAACCTCCGCCTCCCAGGGTCAAGCGATTCTCATGCCTCAGCCACCAGAGTAGCTGGGATTACAGGTGTGCACCTCTACACCTAGCTAATTTTTGTATTTTTGGTAGAGACAGGGTTTTGCCATGTTGGCCATGCTGGTCTCAAACTCCTGGCCTCAAGTAATCCACCCGCCTCCGCCTCCCAAGGGGAGATTTCTTAAAATATGAAATCCATTGAAATATTTAGGTCTTGGCCGCATGTGGTGGCTCATGCCTGTAATCCTAGCACTTTGGGAGGCCGAGGCGGGTGGATCATGAGGTCAGGAGATCGAAACTGCCCTGGCTAACAAGATGAAACCCCGTCTCTACTAAAAATACAAAAAAAATTAGCTGGGCGTGGTGGCGGGTGCCTGTAGTCCCAGCTACTTGGGAGGCTGAGGCAGGAGAATGTCATGAACCTGGGAGGCAGAGCTTACAGTGAGCCAAGATCGCACCACTGCACTCCAGCCTGGGAGACAGAGAGAGACTCCGTCTCAAAAAAAAAAAAGAGAAATATTTAGGTCTTATACAGGCACATATTTGATTTCTCCAGCATTACAGATAATTGAAAAAACATTCCCCCTTCCAGAAAGTTTGGGTAAAGATCTCAAAAATAGTATGTCAGGCCGGGTGCAATGGCTTACATCTGTAATCCCAGCACCTTGGGAGGCCAAGGCAGGTAGATTACCTGAGGTCGGGAGTTCGAGACCAGCCTGGCCAATATGGTGAAACCCCTTCTCTACTAAAAATACAAAAAATTAGCTGGGTATGGTGGTGGGTGCCTGTAATTCCAGCTACTTGGGAGGCTGAGGCAAGAGAATCACTTGAACCCAGGAGGCAGAGGTTGCAGTGAGCCAAGATCATGCCATTGTACTACAGCCTAGGCAACAGAGTGAGATTCTGTTTCCAAAAATATATATATATATATATATTACGTCAGAGAACTGAATGTCTGTGGCTATCGCCACATGAATAGTCTGTATTCTAAGACTAAGGGATTAGCACAAATCCTCTGAATATCAAATATATAATTGAATTTTTTCCTTTGCATTGTTTATCATGGTGTCATACAGGACTTCCTAAATTTTTTTTTAATTTTTTTAAAAATTTTAAGTTCTGGGGTACATGTGCAGGATGTACAGGTTTGTTACATAGGTAAACGTGTGCCATGGTGGTTTGCTACACCTATCGACCCATCACCTAAGTATGAATCCCAGCATGCATTAGCTATTTTTCTTGATGCTTTCCCTTCCCCCTTGCCACTCCCCAACAGACCCCAGTGTGTGATGTTCCTCTCCCTGTGTCCATGTGTTCTCATTGTTCAGCTCCCACTTATGAGTAAGAACATGTGGTATTTGGTTTTCTGTTCCTGAGTTAGTTTGCTCAGGATAAAGGCTTCCAGCTCCATCCATGTCCCTGCAAAAGACATGATCTTGTTCCTTTTTATGGCTGCATAGCATTCCATGGTTTAAATGTACCACACTTTTTTATCCAGTCTATCATTGGTGGGCATTTTCGTTGATTCCATGTCTTTGCTATTGTGAATAATGCTGTAATGAACCTACCTGTGCATATATCTTTATAATAGAATGATTTATATTCCTTTGGGTATATACTCAGTAATGGGATTACTGGGTCAAATGGTATTTCTGGTTCTATGTCTTTGAGGAATCACCACATCCTCTTCCACAATGGTAGAACTAATTTACATTCCCACCAACAGTGTAAAAACGTTCCTATCTCTCCACAGCCTCACCAGCATCTGTTGTTTCTTGTCTTTTTAACAATCGCCATTTTGACTGGGACTGCCTAACTTTTTCCTTATAATCAATAATTATTGACTAGCAAAGCAGAACCCTCTCTATCCAGCACACCTTATCCTGGCTCCTGGAGGATGCTTCTCTTTGTGTTTCTCTTGCAGAGTGTGTACTATTTGGCAAGAACATACTGAGTGATTTGTACAAACTATAAGAAATGTCAGGCCAGGCATGGTGGCTCACGCCTATAATCCCAGCACTTTGGGAGGCCAAGGTGGGGAGATCACTTTAGGTTAGGAGGTTGAGACCAGCCTGGCCAGCACGGTGAAACCCTTTCTCCACTAAAAATACAAAAATTAGCCGGATGTAGTGGCATGCGCCTGTAATCTCAGCTGCTCGGGAGGCTCAGGCAGGAGAACTGCTTAAACCCATGAAGTGGAGGCTGCAGTGAGGTGAGATCGCACCACTGCACTCCAGCCCAGGCAACAGAGTGAGACTCTGTCTCAAAAAGAAAAAAAGCAAAAAGAAAATGTCAGGCTGGTATTTGCTTATGATCTGCCGCTCCTCTTTCTAGATAACTGAAAGCACCTGGAGTCTGTTCCTCAAACACACCCTCCTTGTCTCGGAACCTTTTCACCTTCTCTTCCCTCTGCCTTACCACTGGCTCTAGGTACAGCTGCTCCTTCTTCCTCTTCAAGTCTTGCAAAAATAATTCCTCATATTAGAGGCCTTCTTTGACTCCTAATTTCCTAGTTTATTTCCTTCCTAACACTTAACCGCAGTCCTGTTTATATATTTACTTTTTGTCTCCATCCACTAAAAAAGAAAGCATCTTAAGGCATAAGCAGGTTCTGTCTTGTTCCTCGAAAAACTCTCAGCACCTAGAACACAGGTGCTGAATAAATGTGTATCTTACACAAAACAAACCGATCACTCAACATACCCATATTGTTCTGGCAGAAAAACCGGCTGCCATTTGGAGTTATCCGACCTGGTTTTGAACAGGACACTGGAAGCCTTTATTAGAGGTTCTGAAGCCCAGCTCCATATTTTTAGGTTGGTGCAAAAGTAATTGCGATTTTGGCCATTACTGGCAAAATAATAGAACCTAATAGAATAAGATTAGGAGATTCACCAACCTCATAGAATCTCCCAGGAAACTTAAAAATTATCTTTGCTCAGACCCTGCTCAGACTTAGGGGTGATGGGTCAGTATGGAAGCATTACGTTTTAAAAGCTCTTTTTGTAATTACTTGTGCAACCAACATGGAAAAGTACTGCTCTGAGTGACACAGAACTGAATAATTACCTGGCTACCCATGTTCTTATTATCTGGGTGAGTCCTTCTTAGGTCATCTAGGTTGACAGCATCCCAAGCTGTTCTTCGGATCATTCTCTAGGCTGCTATAAACATTTGCCTCATTATCACAAGAGGCAGCCTTAGGCACAAACCAGATGAAAAATCAACCTCTCAGGAAAGAAAAGAGGCATTCAAGTAACCTAAGTTAATCTGTTAACACCTGTCCTGAAAACCTCAAACTAAAGGGAGAAAGAAAACTGCAGCACACTTCTCTTTTCTTTCTTGGAAGAAAGTCATCAACAAATCCCTTCATTTAGCTGTAGAAGTAAGAGGCAATCAATCAATCAATCAATCAATCAAATACTTGTGCTACAAAGCAAATAAAAAAATAATGCTGGCCTGGCACGGTGGCTCACGCCTGTAATCCCAGCACTTTGGGAGGCCGAGGCGGGCGGATCACGAGGTCAGGAGATCGAGACCATCCTGGCTAACACGGTGAAACCCCGTCTCTACTAAAAATACAAAAAATTAGCCAGACGTGGTGGCAGGCGCCTGTAGTCCCAGCTACTCGCGAGGCTGAGACAGGAGAATGGCGTGAACCCGCGAGGCGGAGCTTGCAGTGAGCCGAGATTGCGCCACTGCACTCCAGCCTGGGTGACAGAGCGAGACTCCGTCTCAAAAAATAAAAATAAATAAATAAATAAAAAATAATAAAAAATAATGCTGGCCAGGCGCAGTGGCTCACGCCTGTAATCCCAGCACTTTGGGAGGCCAAGGCAGGTGGATCACTTGAGGTCAGGAGTTAGAGACCAGCCTGGCCAATACGGCAAAACCTCGTCTCTACTAAAAATACAAAAATTAGCCAGGTGTGGTAGCATGGGCCTGTAATCCCAGCCACTCGGGAGGCTGAGGCAGAAGAATCACTTGAACCTGGGAGGCAGAGGTTGCAGTGAGCCAAGATCGTGCCACTGCACTCCAGCCTGGGCAACAGAGCGAGACTCCATCTCAAAATAATAATAATAATAACAATAATAATGATGCTCACAGAAGAGTGAGATGGTCAGATTCCATCCTCTTCATGGAAGAAATTAGACCAAATAGTGGTGGGTTCAAAAATGCTTGTTCATATGTTTTTGTTATGGCAAACTCTAAACTTTAAGGCCTTGCTTACAATTGGAACCTCTTTTTTTTTTTTTAAAGAAAAAACAGTAGTTATTGATTTTTTTCTCAAGCAATAATTAATAACCCTTTTCCTCAAAATCATCATCATATGTTAATAAAGGTTGGGTGTGGTGGCTCACACCTATAATCCCAGGATTTTGGGAAGCCAAGGTGGGAGGTGAGGCCAGGAGTCCAAGACCAGCCTGTGCAACAAATCAAGACTCCTATCTCTAAATAAATACATACATACATAGCCAGGCGTGGTGGTGCATGCTGTAGTCCTAGCTACTCAGGAGGCTGAGGTGAGAGAATCGCTTACGCCTAGGAGTTCAGTTTGAGGCTGCAGTGAGCTACAATCGTGCCGCTACACTCCAGATTTTTTTTTAGAATGACAGAATAAGACCCTGTCTCTGTAAAACAAAACAAAACAGAAAAAGAACAAAAAAACTAGGCTCATCCTGGAAGTCAACTGGAAACCACTCTCCTCCTCCAGTTAAAAATGCCAAGACTCGACTGGGCGCAGTGGCTCACACCTGTAATCCCAGCACTTTGCGGGGCTGAGGCGGGTGCATCATGACGTCAAGAGATTGAGACTATCCTGGCCAACATGGTGAAACCCCGTCTCTACTAAAAATACAAAAATTAGCTGGGCGTGGTAGCATGTACCTGTGGTCCCAGCTACTCGGGAGGCTGAGGCAGGAGAATTGCTTGAGCCCAGGAGAGCGAGACTCCATCTCAAAAAAAAAAAAAAAAAAAAGTGCCAAGATTCTTGTAAAACAGAGAGAACACAGGATTGAAAGTGGAAATATCTGAGTTGTAGTCCAGGCTTACTACTAACCAACTGAATGAGTGATTAGCAATTTTTTCTTGTCTGTGAAATAAGACTCATAACATCTATGCTGCCTGCCTCACATTGACGTTCTTTATTTATTTATTCTGAGACAAGGTCTCGCTCTGTCACCTAAGCTGGATTGCAGTGGTACAATCATGGCTCACTGCAAACTCGGCCTCCCAGGCTCAAGTGATCCTCATGCCTCAGCCTCCCAAACGTAGCTGAGACTAGTCACACACCACCAAGCACACATAATTTATTTTTAATTTTAATTTGTTTTGTTTTGTCTTTAGAGGGTCTCGCTCTGTCACCTAGGCTGGAGTGCAGTGGTGCCATCATAGTTCACTGCAGCCTTGACCTCCTAGACTCAGGCAATCCTCCTGCCTTAGCCTAGAACTACAGGCGTGAGACACCACACCCAGCTTATTTTTATTTTTGTAGAGATGGGGTCTCTCACCATGTTGCTGAGGCTGCTCTTGAACTCCTGTACTCAAGTGACCCTCCTGCCTTGGCCTCACAAAGTGCTGGGATTATAGGTGTGAGCCACTATGCCTGGCCTTGTTGCTGTTTCTTATAGATAATATTCATAAGCATTCTCCAAAAATACTACATTGTGCAAATAAAAAGTACTGGTCTTTTGTCTTGTTAGTGAACTTTAAGGAAAAAAAAATCCAGTTATAGGAATTAAAAATATTGACTTAGGATATACCATGTGCCCTGCAAAGTGCTAAACAAAAAGAATGGCCCATAATACTTACTTTGTGACACATGCTTGGCATATATCTACCACCAGAGAAACTGAACACGTTACACTTAGAACAACAGGTAGATCAACAAACAGGGAAAGTAATTTCCTTTGCAGCAGGAGAGAAGCTCAGCTCAGCCAAGTCCAGGAATAACATTGAAAAACCCACTTATTTCTTCCCCAAAGTCTGTTTTCACCCCTAGATCTCAAGTTCTTTCATTTCCACTGAAACAACCCAGGGCATGGAAGGGACTACTTAAATTCAGGGGCCCTCTTATCAGTTAAGATTAGGGCAACAAACTTGAACAGTTGTGAGTTAACAAGCTACCATTCAAGGAATCTTCAGTAGATAAGAGGATCTGGAAAGTTGAAAGTTGAAAGCAGTTTTGCAGGTGATTTTAGGACAGCTTAAAACAGAAGAAAGACCTGCTGTTGCCTGATTTCTCAAATCGAGAAGCAAATTTAGAGGTTGTCTGGTTGAGAATATGCTGGCACTGATACAAGCTGGAATCCTGTGTGTTCAAGACAAGTTTTTAACCTCACCTAGACTTAGTTTCCTTATTTATCAGTAAGACACAGACAAAGATATCTTCTCTGCAGGGATAATAATCTGAATCTTAGAGATGATACATATAAAGTCATCGCATATTAAGTTGTCAACAAATTATAGCTAATTTTTTTAAGGCCAGTTGAGTGATTTTCAGACTTGTTCTAGTGGCAGAGCATTTGGAAGTTGCAGATCATTGTGAAATGCTGAAATGTGGTATCAAACCATATGAACGTTTTTTAGTAGCAAATATGACTACATTCCTATGAACAATATAATATCAGAAATAAGAACATATATGTTCACCAAAACAAAAAAGAAAATTCCCCAATACAAGCTATTGAACTGGATAATGAGTCAGAATCTTCCCATGGTATTCGTTGGCTACTTGTTCATTTCATCAGCCTGGGGTTGGAGCTAGTGGTAAGTGTAAGCAGAAAAGCACATGAGGCAAATGGAGAAAAGACTAAACATTCAGATGAACTACAGGCCTCAAAGAATTTGCAAACCTCTGCTAATAACCGTATACTAGAGCTGATCAATGAATCCAAAGATTTTCAAACATTTTTAAAGTGAGGAAATTCTTTCTTGAAAAAGACTTTTTTTCTTTTTTGGCAGAAGAACCCTGAGATGTAAAACAGAAAAGTGGAAACCCCAAAGAGAAAATGGAACAAAGGCTCAGCTGCCCTCCTGCAAGCCCTGGGATTCCCCGACCCTCCCCAGCTCTCCCAGGCATCTCTGAAGATGTCTTGCGCTTGGTGGGGCACATGCTGAAAATCTGTAAGTCCAGCCCCCTCATTCTGCAGATGAGAAAATTAAAGCTGGAGTGGCTGAGGGATTTATCTGAGGTTGCACAGTGAGTTTGTGGGACAACCAACATTAGAACCCAGGCCTATGAGTCTCACTTCAGCATTTTCTTCCATTCTGCCAGGACTACTCAGACATTACTCCACAATAATCTATTGGTTAAATAGGTGGGGCAGAACCTTGGCAAAGGGGTCAACTTGGAAAAGGTCAACTCCCCAAAAAATGTACCTTCTCAAACTGTCAGGTTGACCAGATGTCCTTCCTTTGCCTACTTTCTTATCATGTTCCATGCTGCACCCAGATTACCTGTTTATGTCAGAGATCACACACTGGCCCACACCGTGTCTTTAACTATCTTGAATCAGTTGCCAGCATCTCAAAATCAGAATATTTTGGTTTTAAAAAAATTTTTATTAACATTTTTATTTTTTGAGATGGAGTCTCACCATCACCCAGGCTGGAGTGCAGTTGCTCAGTCTTGACTCACTGCAACCTCCGCCTCCCAGGTTCAAGCGATTCTCCTGCCTCAGCCTCCAACTAGCTGGAACTACAGGTGCACACCAGCACGCCTGGCTAATTTTTCTGCATTTCTGGAAGAGACAGGGTTTCACCATGTTGGCCAGGCTGGTTGCAAACTCCTGACATCAGGTGATCCATCCACCTTGGCCTCCCAAAGTGCTGGGATTACAGGCGTGAGCTACGGTGCCAGCCCATGAAAGCAGCATTACTTTTTAAAATATATTTTTTAAAGTTTTTAATAGAGACAGAGTCTCACTATGTTGCCCAGGCTGGTTTTGAACTCCTGGGCTCAGTTGATCATCTGGCCTCAGCCTCCCAAAGCACTGGGATTACATTACAGGCATGAGGCACTGCACCCAGCCAAGAAAGCAGATTATTTCTGAAGGCATTCACCTCATCGTTTGAAACTGGATTGTCTTCTCTATTTTAGGTTTATCTTTGTTCCTGTAAGTTCAGTTCTCAAAAATACTTCTATAGACATAAGCTTTAAACCACCGGTCACAAACTCAAATGCCTACCGGGACCAGACAGTAATGGGCACAAGCTAGGAAATGAGGCAATAGGGACTGCTGGGGATGACAAACTGGAGAGTGCATAGCTTTACTCGGCTCCTGGGATTATTATCTATTGGGTATAAGAGTTCAATGTTGCTAGAATTTCTCGTTCTTCAATAGAAACTGGGAATCCAGGCCGGGCGCAGTGGCTCACGCCTGTAATCCCAGCACTTTGGGAGGCCGAGGCGGGCGGATCATGAGATCAGGAGATCGAGACCATCCTGGCTAAAATGGTGAAACCCCGTCTCTACTAAAAATACAAAAAATTAGCCGGGCGTGGTGGCGGGCGCCTGTAGTCCCAGCTACTCGGGAGGCTGAGGCAGGAGAATGGTGTGAATACGGGAGGCGGAGCTTGCAGTGAGCCGAGATCACGCCACTGCACTCCAGCCTGGGTGACGGAGCGAGACTCCATCTCAAAAAAAAAAAAAAAAAAAAAAAAAGAAACTGGGAATCCAAATTTTTAGGCAAAATATTCTGATCTTAGGACGGGCGCTGTGGCTCACACCCGTAATCCCAGCACTTTGGGAGGCCAAGGCAGGTGGATCACCTGAGGTCAGGAGTTGGAGACTAGCCTGGCCAACATGGTGAAACCCTGTCTCTACTAGAAATACAAAAAATTAGCCTGGGCATGGTGGCGCACGCCTGTAGTCCCAGCTATATGGGAGGCTGAGGTAGGAGAAAAAAAAAATGCTGCTTTCTTGCATTGATTATGAAGGAAACTTTCAGTGTTTCCTGAATTGTTTATTTTTCTGAGGGCTGTTAAATTAACTACAAACTAGCTGGACTACGAGTCCCAAAATTGCTTTCTGGGTGTCCCTGTTTATACTACTATCTGTAGCACAACTCCAAACACCCCTGCCCCTCAGGAGACGTGTCACTAAACCACACAGCAGCCTTTTTCCTGTGCCCCCATGCACCTCAGTTAGCACTGGGATTAGGAGAAACTGGCTGAGAGCCCCAGGATTATCCCCAGGACAGGGCAACCGGGCATGGCATGAGAGATAGGAACCATTCTTAAGGAGCTGCTCGATCCCTGCTTTCCAGCAGTGGCAATCCAGACTCTCATCTCATTATTCCTCCCTGCACATCCCAAGATCAGTTATCCCCAGATACACCCCCTCTCCTTCAATCATCTTACTCTCTTTCCTCATGAAAACTTACCAAAGTATCAGATATTCACACAGAGGTTTCATTACTTTATTTTATTTTATTTTATTTTATTTTTGAAACAGTTTTGCTCTTATTGCCCAGGCTGGAGTGCAATGGATCGATCTCGGTGCAATGGATCGATCTCAGCTCACTGCAACCTCCGCCTCTGGGGTTCAAGTGATTCTCCTGCCTCAGCTTCCCAAGTAGCTGGGATTACAGGCACCCACCACCATGCCTGGCTAATTTTTGTATTTTTAGTAGAGACAGGGTTTCACCATGTTGGCCAGGCTGATCTCAAACTCCTGATCTCAGGTGATCTGCCCGCCTTGGTCTCCCAAAGAGCTGGGATTACAGGAGTGAGCCACCGCGCCCGGCCCCACACAGAGGTTTTAATAATTGATATCTGCATCTATCTATCTATCTATCTATCTATCTATCTATCTATCTATCTATCTATATTTTTTGAGACAGGATCTCACTCTGTTATCCAGGCTGGAGTGCACTGGTGCAATCATAGCTCACTGCAGCCTCCACCTCCTGGGCTCAAGTGATCCTCCTGCCTCAGCCTCCTCAGTAGGTGGGACTATAGGTGCACACCACCGCACCTGGCTAAATTTTTTTGTATTTTTTGTAGAGATGGGGTTTCAACATGTTGCCCAGGCTGGTCTCAAACTCATGAGCTCAAGTGATCCACCCACTTCAACCTCCCAAAGTGCTGGGACTACAGGCATGAGCCACTGTGCTTGGCCTGATATCTGCATATTTCTACTTTAGCATTTTAACCTAAAAGTGGGTATTGCTAATAATAAAATTTTAGAGATCACAATAAGTGGGTAAAAAGAACATTTTGGAGATAAAAAGGTCTTACCCTCAAATTATACCACAAGGAAAGTTTATGACTTTATTTGAAAGGCTCCAACTTTATAATCTCCACTCCTTCAAGACTTGGTTCAGGTGCTACCTTCTCAATGATGCCTTCTTTTATTGTAGTCCTCTCCCTTCACCCCTCCCTCCCTATTGTATCCCCTGCTTTGTTTTTCTCCCTGTCACTTAGCACCACATGATATACAGTGTTTTACTTATTTTTTTGTTTACTCTCTCTCCATTAGAAAATAAGCTTCAGGGGATAAGAATTTCTGTTTGTTCATTGCTACGTCCTCACTGCTGTGACCATACCTGGCCTACAGTAGGTACTCAATAAAGGTTTGATAAATAAATGAACTTGTCATGCCCATGCTCAGGTAACAATGTGCCAATTATATTTATTTATTTTTATTAAAATTTTTTTAGATGGGGTCTCGCTGTGTCGTCCAGGCTGCAGTGCAGTGGTGCCATCATGGCTCACTGCAGCTTCACCTCCTGGGCTCAAATGATCCTCCTGTCTCAGCTTCCCAAGTAACTGGAACTACAGGCATGTGCCACCACGCCTGGCTAAATTTTTTAATTTTATTTTATATTTTATTTTATTTTATTTTATTTATTTTATTTTATTTTATTTTATTTTATTTTGAGATGGAGTGTCACTCTGTTGCCCAGGCTGGAGTGCAGTGGTGCAATCTCGGCTCACTGCAACCTCCACCTCCCGGGTTCAAGCAATTCTCTTGCCTCAGCCTCCTGAGTAGCTGGGACTACAGGCGCACACCACCACACCCAGCTAATTTGTGTATTTTTAGTAGAGACGGGGTTTCGCCATATTGGTCAGGCTGGTCTTGAACTCCTGACCTCAGACGATCCACCCGCCTTGGCCTCCCGAAGTGCTGGGATTACAGGCCTCCCAAAATGCTGGGATTACAAGTGTGAGCCACCACGCCTGGCCTACATTTATTTTTTTAGAGACAGGGTCTCGCTATATTGCCCAGGCTGTTGAAAATTTTATCAATAAACAGATGCAAAATAGAATTTCTAGATGGTGAGGGTGACTACATATTGTAAAGATGCCTTTTTGTGTGTGTGGTAGTGTACTCTTATTCTACAACTTAATTTTCTCATTCGAAGTCATTCTAATTCATTTCACAGTCTTCTCATTTTTTAAAAATGATTTTCTTGTATTCCATAATTTGGTCAACCAGTGCCCTGGAGCTCAGAAGTTTTGATGCCATCTTTCCTTTGTGTATGTATCTTTTGCAATGAACATACACATTACCTCTTCTAAATGTTTTCAAGGATAAGATCTATTCCTCTTCCTCCTCCTCCTTCTTTTTTAAAATCTAGAATAGATGTAGGGTAGGCCATTTTGGGAAGCAGGATGCTAGATTCTGCACTATAACCACACCATATGCACATCGCGCTGTGTGTGTGTGTGTGTGTGTGTATGTATGTGTGTCTGAGGCAGTTGCATCTTTAACTAGATTATGAACCTTTTTTCTTTTCCTCTCAGCTAACAATGATGGGGTTCAGTTTTTTATCTGAAATGTGTCCTAGTAAATACCTGTTATAATAAGACCTAATTTGAAAAAGAAACAGAAGATGTTCCCAGCTACTTAACTTTAAGCACTGCCTTCCAGCTGTCCTTCGGGAAATATCCATTAGTCATTTTTTGTTGGTGGTGTTTATACCTTTTACTATGCTTCTTTGAGTTCACCAAACAGCACATTTAGGAAACTTTGGTTCATTTTTCAAATGCAAACATTCTGAAGCCTGAACTTCTGGTTCAAGTGTTCTAACTTGGCTTCAAGGTCAGAACACAAATTGAAGGATAGATCCCAGACCATTTTAGAATCATGATGGCAACGCATATGCCATTTGTATTGAACTAACTGACCAATGTGCTGAGCAGAGACGATGCAAAGGAGAATAATGAGAAACAGGCCACTTTAGCACATGAAAATCATCCATTTAAAAAACTTCTGAGCCAGGTGCGGTGGCTCACGCCTGTAATCCCAGCACTTTGGGAGGCTGAGGTGGGCAGATCACTTGAGGTCAGGAGTTCGAAGCCTGGTCAACATGGTGAAACCCCATCTCTACTAAAGATACAAAAAATTAGCCAGGCATAGTGGCAGGCACCTGTAATCCCAGCTACTTGGGAGGCAAAGGCAGGAGAATTGCTTGAACCCAGGACGCGGAGGCTGTAGTGACCAAGACCGCGCTATTGCACTCCAGCCTGAGAAACAGGAGTGAAACTCAGTCTCAAAAAAAAAAAAAAAAAAGTTCTTATCATTGTTGTGACCAGAGACAGTTATCACCAGTGAAAATTCAAGACCCACAGCATGGAAGATTAGATTACCAACTCCCAGATCAAAGGAATGTAGAGACAAGGAATGACTCTTCTCCAAAGCACCTGAATTTATGATATCCTGGACATAGTCTCATAGTATAACTTTGATTCCAGGCTCTTTTAAAAGCTGAAAACTCTCCTATGGAATAATATGCATAAAAGGTTATTCACTGGCGTATTGTTAATATTAGCAAAAGTTTGGAAACAACCTAAGTGACCATCTTAGGGAACTGGTTGACCAAATTATGGAATACCCGTACAATGGAATACAGTAAAATCATTTTTAAAAAATGAGAAGACTGAAATAAATTACTAATAGAATAATTTCAAATGAGAAAATCAAGTTGTAGAATAAGTGTATGCTACCACAAAAAAAAGGCAAAACAAAAATACGCACATAAAACCGTATTTGCTTATATACATTTACATACATATATATGAAATATCTCTGGAAAGGCCCATAAGAAACTGAAATTATTGGCTTCTTCTAGAAAATGCACTGGATACTGGGGGGACAGGGTTTGGGGGAGACACCTCACTATATATCCTTTCGAATTTTGAATCAAACAAATATAATTCCTACTGAAATAAATAAACTTAATATTTTAAAGAGGCTGCGCGTGGTGACTCATGTCTGTAATCCCAGCACTTTGGGAGGCCAAGGTGGGAGGATTGCTCGAGGACAATAGTTCAAGACCAGGCTGGGCAATTAGCGAGACCTCCATCTCTACAGTTTTTTGTGTTTTTTTTGTTTTTTTGTTTTTTTTTAATTAGCCAGTCATGGTCTTAGCTACTTGAGAGGCTGAGGCAGCAAGACAGCTTGGGCCCAGGCGTTCGGGGCTCAAGGTAGTAAAATTACATTAAATGATTTTTTAAAATTAAGCCCTTCAACTAGGAGAATATACGAGAAAGAAGTTCATTATAACTTTTTTTTTTTTTTTTTGAGACAGAGTTTCATTCTGTCACCCGGGCTGGAGTGCAGTGGCACGATCTCAGCTCACTGCAACCTCCGCCTCCTGGGTTCAAGCAATTCTCCTGCCTCAGCCTCCCGAGTAGCTGGGATTACAGGTACCTGCCACCATGCCCAGCTAATTTTTTGTATTTTTAGTAGAGATGGGGTTTCACCATGTTGGCCAGGTTGGTCTTCAACTCCTGACCTCAAGTGATCTGCCCGCCTTGGCCTCCCAAAGTGCTGGAATTACAGGCACGAGCCACTGCACCTAGCCCATTGTAACTTTCTTATACAGTTTCTGTAGGTTTGAATTGTTTTCAAAATAAAAAAATAATTTAACAAAATAAGAATCTCTCCTCCAGGGTGATGAGTTGAGTTGGGTGCTTTCAGCTAGGGGCTGTCAAGGAAGGAGAAGTACCCAAGAGAATTTGCTGGCTTCCAATGTATATCAATAGTGGCCTGAGAGCCAAGGGCAGAGTGGAAATCTCTGCTCTGCTGCCATCATGAAATGGGTTTCCAACATTGGCAATGCAATTTCTAACTGTGCCATAATCGGAAACAACATTCTTTAACTGAAAATGGCCAAATCTTTGTGCTGGTTAAATACAAGGGGGAAAAAATAAAATGTCAGAGTTCACCCTTTTCCTCCAAACATTTAGGAAAGGAGTTAAATGCAGTCAAAGCTTAGATTTTAGAAAAATTCCCCTGGCCAACTCCAGGGAAGAGGAGCAGCTCCACGACCAGAGCAAACCAGGTATTTCCTGTGCAGGCCCAGCAAGAATCCTGTGCAATGAAGTCGTTTATAACAGAGGAATGCTTTGGCGAGAAGGGAAGGCCATGGAGTAGGAAATCAACATATTTGTGTTCCAGTCCTGAAGGTACCTCAGCCCTTTTCATATACAAGCTTAATGTTTTAAGCCCGAGTAGCTGCCTCTATGAAATGCAATCATAAAAGCTGCCTTACTCACCTTCCTGTGCTGTTGTGATGACCAAAAGGTAAAGAGGGGTACAAAAGCATTTTAAAAACTATAAGGCACTAGAGACCAATGTTAGGTATGTACAAAACAAAATACCTGTTGAGGATAACTTTGAAGTTTTCAATCAGAGGAAAAAGCAAATGTGATCTTTAGGATGAGATAGATAAGAACTTTCTAGCTCTACCCCCTCATCTGCTAGAGGACTTAGGGCAATTCTTCTAGCCATTCAGAACCTCAGTTTGCTCACTGCAAAATGAGGTTAACGCTCCCTATTTAACAAGCTGGCTGTAAGAATAAAGTAAATAGCATATATAAAGTGCTGGGCACATAGAGAACTCACACAAAGATGAGTTCCCTTTTAACCTGCCTTGGGTAAAGAATCAGCGTCTCCATCAAGGGATACTCCATTCACTGATTTGCTCATTCATCAAACTCTCTGTGCTATCTACTCAATTCTTCTGCAAATCTAAAAGTGTTCTAAAAATAAAAGCTAAGCTGGGCATGGTGGCTCACACCTGTAATCCCAGCACTTTGGGAGGCTGAGGCAGGAGGATCACTTGAGCTCAGGAGTTGGAGACCAGCCTGGGCAACATGATGAAACCCCATCTCTTTTTTAAAGAAAAAGAAAAAAAAAACAAATAAAATCTACCTTTTTTTTTTTTTTTAAAGAGACAGGGTCAGGGCCAGGTGGGGTGGCTCATGCCTATAATCCCAGCACTTTGGGAGGCCAAGGCGGGCGGATCACGAGGTCAGGAGATCGAGACCATCCTGGCTAACATGGTGAAACCCTTTCTCCACTAAAAATACAAAAAATTAGCCAGGGGTGGTGGCGGGTGCCTGTAGTCCCAGCTACTCAGGAGGCTGAGGCAGGAGAATGGCGTGAACCCGGGAGGCGGAGTTTGCAGTGAGCCGAGACTGCGCCAATGCACTCCAGCCTGAGTGACAGAGCAAGACTCTGTCCCCCCAAAAAAAGAAAGAGACAGGGTCTCACTCTGTCACCCAGGCTGGAGTTCAGTGGCACCATCACAGCTTACTGTGGCCTTGAACTCCTGGGCTCAAGCAATCCGTCTGCCTCAGCCTCCTGAGTAGCTACGACTACAGGCATGCACCACCATGCCTGGCTAATTTTTTATTTTTTTGCAGAGATGGAGTCTTGCTATGTTACCCAGGCTGGTCTTGAAGACTGGCCTCAAGTGATTCTCCCACCTCTGGCCTCTGAAAGTGCTGAGATTACAGGTGTGAGCCACCATGCATGGCCTAAATCTATTAAAAAAATATTTATTGTGGGTATAGAGTGTCACAGTTCAGAAGAGAGACTCTGGAGTGAGACTGTTTGGGTTGAATCAGGTTCTGCCACTTACTAGCTGGATGACCTAGGACATTTATTTAACAGCTCTGCACTTTAGTTTCCTCATCTGTAAGCACTATGAAAAAATCTTACTATTAATATAATAATAATAATTATTATTAGACACTGTACTCAACACAGGGAATACAGTTGTGAAGAAGGCAGTTTTGAACCCTACTCTCATGAAGCTAAAACAAGGGGCTCTGAAATCACCTATCAAACATCCTAAATGTAGAGAAACATAGGGCCAAAGAGGTGAAGTGACTCCTACCAAGGCCAAACAACTAGTTAGTGAGTGAGTCCTAGTGAAGACCAGCCAGGACTAGGCAGAGAGTTCCAGATTGCAAGCCACTGTTTCTCCATTGCCCAGTACAATGCAACCAGCATCACCCAGATTCACACCTTCTGGAAACTTAATAGCCCTGAAGTATGAGAGTAGATTACAGAAATCAACTGGAAGCGGCCCAACAATTCTACACATTCCTGACCTCCACTTTTTTCCTACGACCCATTCCTTACACTGTTGTCCTTACCTGGCCTACATATGATCTCTCTACAAATTTCAGATGTGGAGTTCATGATGGAGACGACATGGAAATGCCCAACTCCCTGACACCACTTGATTTTCACTTGTGCTTAAAAATCTTAAACAAGAACAAGGGTTGGGTCTCTCACAGACCTCTTGTAAAGGCTCAAATCCAAGTATGGTGTGGCCTAAAGTGTATACAATACTAGGGTACTCTCCTTAGAAAAGGAATACATTATTATGAATTAAAAATTAGGTACAAGGCCTTGTAAGGGACACCTGCAAATGAAGAGCCCTGAGGTTTCCTGGTAAATCCAGCTTTGCTCCTATAGTTGCCTAATTTCTTTCCTTCTTCCTTTCTTCTTTCCTTCCATTTATCTAACTTGCACCTACCCTACCATCTAGCACCCACTGTACACCAGGCAGTAACTTCATAAGTTTACATCCTGATTAAAAAATTGTCGGCCTGGGCAATTTAGTGATATCTCATCTGTACAAAAAATTTAAAAATTAGTTGAGTGTGGTGGCACATGCCTGTGGTCCCAGCTACTCAGGAGGCTGAGGCAGGAGGACCACTTGAGTATGGGAATTTGAGGCTGCAGTGAGCTGTGATTGCACCGATGCACTCCAGCTTGGGTAAAAGAGTGAGACCCTGTCTCAAAAAAAAAAAAAAAAAAAGAAAAGGAAAAAATGTGAGATTGGAGTAAAAAAGATTTATTCCAGTCAGCAGGTTTTTATCCATCTTATGATAAACTTGCTTTTCTTGATATAAAGGAATAAGATGATGTACACCTAATCTGTCGGTAATGTGTAAACAAGCTATGTGGGGCTGCTTGTTAGATGCAGTAAATCCTAATGTAGCCAGAGGCTACAGCTTTCTATTTACACTTGTGAACACACCCAGAGGCAGGCTCTTCTATCATGAGCACAGTGAACAAGTAAAACAACCCTTTCAGATGGTACAGGGCAGTGACATAGCCATCTAGAGAAAATATTATATAGTTACACATAATTATATATAATAACATGTTTTATGCACATCATCTGATTTCATGTTCACACCATCTGATGTAGTAGTAGGATGGTTTTATTAAAAATCCCCATATTACAGATTGGAGACAGAGGCCTATAGTGACTTGCCAATGTCATAGAGCTTCTAAGTGTTTGTGAAGGTAGATTCTACTCAAGCTGGGGGTGGCAGCTCACGCCTGTAATCCCAGCACTTCGAAAGGCCAAGGCCAAGGTGGGTGGATTGCTTGAGCCCAGGAGTTCAAGACCAGCCTGGACAACATGGTGAGACTCCATCCCTACAAAAAAATTAAAAAATTAGTCGGGCATGGTTGTGCATGCCTGTAGTCCCAACTACTTGGGAGGCTGAGGCGGGAGGATCACTTGAGCTCAGGAGTCCCAGGCTTCACTGAGCTATGATCAGCCACTTTACTCCAGCAGCCTGGGCAACAGAGCAAGACCCTGTCTTTTGGAAAAAAAAAAAAAAAAAGACGAATGAGTCTAAATTCAGAGTGCTTTCTAATTCAAAAGGAACAGTGATTTTCAGTTAATATCGCTTTTTACAGGTGTGATACCCAAGGATCACTTCTCTTTTAATTTCCTTTCCCATAGCAGCCCTATTCTCCTCACATTCAGAGGACACAAAGACTGTACAGGCAGCAACTGCACAAAGAACCCATAGACAAAATAAGTAGGGGCCATTTTGTGGATAATTTGGGAATGGGAATTCGGTCCTTGTGGCAGGAGAAGTTTTCTTCGGCTCACATTCTCCGGGTGAGTCATGTAGGTTTATCCCATTATTTGCACAATTCCTCACCTCTCCCCGTGGGCTGCAGTATCACCCAGCCACAATGGCATCTGCCCTTCACCGCTTCATCCCCTGCAGCCTGCTTGGTCAGGGCCTGGCAGGGAGCTGAGGAGCCCAGAGAGGGAGGGGAGGAAGCACGCGGCCGCCAGTGGCTGTCAGCTTTCCCAGCTGACTCAACTCCCCACCTCCTCCTCCCCCGCCCTGCACACAGCCACCAGCCTCCTAACTTTCCATTTCCAGGCCTCTGGGGTGGGAGCACCCCCTCCCGCTGCCCGGGGCGCCTGGTCTGCAGTCTGGGGCTGCCAGGGCACCACGCCAGCTGGCCTGGCGGGCTCTCTCCCGGGACTCTTAGAGTCTGCTGTCATGGAGAGAACGGAATATAGGTCAAGGTGCTCTCGGAAGGGCCCAGGGGAGGATCACCTGACTGGGAGGTGTGTGACTCAGCGGGAAGGGAAGGGGTGGAGCCGAATCTCCCGCCCGGAGGAGTCCGGAGGAGGAAGAGGTCAGGTTGCCTCTGTCTGGCTGATTGTCAGGGGAGGAAGGAGAAAGCAGCTGGAGGCAGAAGGAAGGATAAGATGACCTCTGGTGACCTATCTAAGGTGGAACACAAATCCATTCCAGAGCGGGCCGTCCCCCTCGGTGTAGCTGAAACCACTCCCAGCTCAGAACTCTCTCTGTGGTCGTGAAGACCTAATTAGCTGCCAAAGTGAGAAACCAAATTAACCGAACGCTCATCACTCCAGACTCCATCGACCCAGGCCCCTAAAAGAAACCAAAGACCCTGGTACAGCACACAAAGGTGGCCATCCCCATTAGAAGCAATTCGATCGTTTCCCCCAATCAATTCTGAATATGAAAATTACTAACCCATTTTATTTTACGGGTCCACACGGCAGGGGCCTCCTTTCAAGGGTGCGGCAGTTGCTGCTGTTGCTGGAACAGCAGCTGCTCTGTCTGAGCCTCACTTCCTCTGGCTCCAGCTGCAGGTTCCTCCTGGCCAAGCAGGGAGTTTCCTCATTCTCAGGGCTCTGGGCCCAGGCCTTGCTAGCGGCCACCCTCACCTCCCACCCTCAGCTGCTCACCACCCACCCTCTGTGGGTAGTGCTCTGGGACTCCCTCGTTCCATGAGTCAGAGCCAGGCTGGAGACAGACAGTAGGCTTCCTTTATTAAATCAGCCTCCTGCCCCGTACACTATAGAGGAAAGCTATAATTACTCCTTTGGCCTGGCTCTGAGAACTGAGCCACAGACGCTTGACTAGGAGCGACGGTTCTTGATTTCTGCATTTATCTAATGATGCACCCCAGTTTGGAAATAAGAATAACAGCCAGGGGTTAAGGGCTTGTTACACAAACGTCAGATGTTTTGCATATGTAATGGGGTGCATTGGGCCTGGATAGTCATGTAGATTGCTAGAAAAATCGCTATATTAAGGCTGCCAGGAGTTTTCTGTTTTGTTTTGCATGCCTCCTGCCTCGCGTTGATTGAGTCACACTTGAGGTGGCCTGCTCATTGCTGATGTTGGTTTACAAGAGACAAAGAAAAAAGCAGCCAAACATTGTTTCGGGTCTCCAGGTCAGGACTCTTTCATCCCTTAGGTATAATAGACACAAAATCTCAGGCCTCCCAGCTTTTCTTTCTTTCTTTTTTTTTTTTTTTTTGAGACGGAGTCTCACTCTGTTGCCCAGGCTGGAGTGGGGCAGAGCCATATCAGCTCACTGCAACCTCCACCTCCTGGGTTCAAGCAATTCTCCTGCCTCAGCCTCCCAAATAGCTGGGATTACAGATGCCCAACACCATGCCCAGCTTATTTTTGTATTTTTAGTAGAGACGAGGTTTCACCATGTTGGCCAGGCTGGTCTTGAACTCCTGACCTCAGGTGATCCACCCGCCTCGGCCTCCCAAAGTGCTGGGATTACAGGCGTAAGCCACCACGCCTGTCTGCCTCCCAGCTTTTCTACTGGTTTACAGAAATGTCTGAAACCTGAAAAAACAGTTGGTTCCAATTTTTTTTTTGAGACGAAGTCTCGCTCTTGTCCCCCAGGCTGGAGTGCAATGGCACGATCTCGGCTCACTGCAACCTCCACCTCCTGGGTTCAAGTGATTCTCCTGCCTCAACCTCCTGAGTAGCTGGGATTACAGGCACCTGCCACCACACCTGGCTAATTTTTGTATTTTTAGTAGAGACAGGGTTTCACCATTTTGGCCAGGCTGGGCTCGAACTCCTGACCTAAGGTCATCCACCCATCTCGGCCTCCCAAAGTGCTGGGATTACAGTGTGAGCCACCGCACCCAGCCTGGTTCCAAAATTTTTAAAAACCACAAAATCAAAATAATATCGTCAATTTTCATTAACTATTCAATTTAGTATTCATTGATTCATTCACTTATTCATCCATTCCTGCAAGCATGCATTTATTTCTTCATTCAATAAATATTTGTTGAGTTACCTCTCTGTGCCACACACAGTTACAGGTACTAGGGACACATTAAGTGCTAAATTCACTAAAGATACAGACAAAACTAAGCATACAAATATCTCTGCCCTTGTGGGTCAATAATAGACACAACAGACCAGGTACGGTGGCTCATGCCTGTAATCCCAGTGCTTTGGGAGGCTGATGGGGGCTGATTGCTTGAGCCTAGGAGTTTGAGGCTGCAGTGAGCTATGATCGTCACCCAGGCACTCCAGCCTGGGTGACAGAGCAAGACTGTGAAAGAAAGAGAAAGAAGGAAGGAAGGAAGGAAGGAAGGAAGGAAGGAAGGAAGGAAGGAAGGAAGGGAGAGCGAGGTTAGAGGAATTGTTGATAAAGGAGGAATTGGCATTTCAGAATAATCTGTGAGTTAGATATCTCTCACAGCGAGAGTTCTCAAGTCTGCATGATTGCTGAGAAATTATAACCAATTATAAATTGAGTTAAATTCTTTAAGCCATGTTTATAATCAAAATGTAAGTGTATTTAAATATACTTGATAAGAGATAAAAAGTAAAAGTACCATGGCATGTGACCCTATCTCTGGTTATGGGTAGGTGCTGTGGGTTGAATATTTGTCTCCTCTAAAACTCATGTTGAACTTTAATCCCCAATGTGGCAGTATTGAGAGATGTGGTCTTTAAACGGTGCTTGCATCATGAGGGCTCTGCCCTAATGAATGGGTTAATCCATGAGTGGATTAATCCACTCATGGATTAATGGGTTATAATGGGTGGGGACTGATGGCTTTATAAGAAGAACAAAGACCTGAGCTAACATGTTAGCACACTCAGCCCCCTCACCATGCGACACCTTGGACCACCTTAGTACTCTTCAGAGAGTCCCCTCAAGCAAGAAGGCTGTCACCAGATAGGACCCCTTGACCTGGGACTTCTCAGCCTCTGTAACTGTGAAGAAATTTCTTTTCTTTATCAATTATCCAGTTTCAAGTGTTTGGTTATAAGCAACATGAAAGAGAATAACACAGTGAAGTTATTTCATTCAAGAATTTATTGAGCACCTATAATATAGTAGCTAAGGACTTAGGTGTCAGATGCCAGCGTTCAGATCCTGGCTCTATCATTTACTACTTGTGTGATTCTGGGAGAGACACTTAGTTTCAGTTTCCCATCTACAAAATTGGGGTAGTATAGAACTTAACTTATAGAGTTTCCAGAATAATTAAATGAAATAATAAAAGTAAAGGTGTCAGTTAATATAGCACCTGGCACTTAATAAGCAAGCACTCAATAAATGTTATGGCAAAAATCGCAATTATTTTTGCACCAACCTAATATTATCATATTGTTGGTTTAATAATGATGAGGTACCCGGCATTGTGTTGGGTATTGGCGACCCAAAGTTGAATAAGACAGTGACGTGGTCCTAACTGGGAAAGGCTTTGCAAGCATTCTGTGCTTCATTAAATCCTTACGTCTTGGCTGGGCATAGTGGCTCATGCTGGTAATCTCAACACTTTGGGAGGCTGAGGTGGGAGGATCGCTTGAGCCCAGGAAGTTGAGGCTGCAGTGACCCATGATTGTGCCACTGAACTCAATCCAGCCTGAGTTTTAGAGACCCTATCTCTAAAAAAAAAAAAAAAAAATCTTCACAGTCCCCTTGCAGGATGACCCCCACTGCTCCACCAACTGACCACTGTAAACCATATTTGGAAAGGCAATAACCATGAAGAGATCACAATGAGATGTCACTTAATACCCTTTCAGTTGGAAAAAATTAAGAAGCTTGATAATACCAAATTGTTGGAAAGAACACAGATCAATTGGATATTTATATGTTTGTTGTTACTGGGATTGTAAATTGATAAATTCACATTGTTTCCCTGGAGACACAGACAAAAATGATCAGCTTAGCGTGTTCAAAGTCATGGAAAGCTGGTAACAACCCAAATGTCCACTAACAGGAGATTCAGTAAATTCCCATGGAACATACTAGGGAGAACTGCAATAGAGCAGGGACAACAAGTGGACCGTAGCTGAATGCTACGCTATGGGTGAGTTTTAGCCACATAATATTATGAGAAAAAAGTATACCCAAGAAAGCTGCATATAGCAGGATATTCTTTTTTGTTTTAATTTTAATTTTTTTTTTTAGAGACAGGGTCTTGCTCTGTTGCCCAAGTTGGAGTGCAGTGGCACTATCATGGCTCACTGCAGCCTCAATCTCCTGGGCTCAAGCAATCCTCCTGCCTCAGCCTCCCAAGTAGCTGGGACTACAGGCACACACCACCACGCCCAGCTACATTTTAAAAATTTTTTTGTAGAGACAGGGTCTTGCTGTGTTGCCCAGGCTGGTCTTGAACTCCTGGCTTCAAGTGATCCTCCTGCCTCCCCCTCCCAAAGTGCTGATATTATAGGTATGAACCACTGCGCCTAGCCAGGATATTCCTTTACACAAGAAAAAACAACAAATCTAAACAATATGGCTTTTAGAAAAATATTTGAAAAAGCATTAGTTTTTAGAGGAGCAAAGGAATGATGAACTCAATATTCAGAATAGGGTGGGGAAGGCAAAGTAATAGGAAGGGAGGACACAGGGGAAGAACGTGCAGTGGAGTGACTGTATTATAAGGAAATACACAAACAGATAAATAACAAATTACCAGATGCAGGTTGCACAAGGTCCAACTGAAGATGAAAGAATGTCATGAGTCAAATATTGTGAATAACCCTAAGCACTTAAATTCAGTAAAAAGGAAAACAAGGCCGGGCGCGGTGGCTCACGCCTGTAATCCCAGCACTTTGGGAGACTGAGGCGGGCAGATCACCTGAGGTCAGGAGTTCAAAACCAACCTGACCAACGTGGCGAAACCCTGTATCTACTAAAAATACAAAATTAGTGGGGTGTGGTGGTGCATGCCTGTAATTCCAGCTACTCAGGAGGCTGGGGGAGGAGAATCACTTGAACCCGGGAGGCAGAGGTTTCAGTGAGCCAAGATCACACCATTGCACTCCAGCCTGGGCGACAGAGGAAGACTCCATCTCAAAAAAAAAAAAAAAAGAAAAAGTAAACAAAAGCCTGCTCTTGGGACTGGTATGAAGTACCCATAAGGAAGGGTGTTGAGAGACGGGAAATAAAGCAGGGTGTGTGTGTGTTTCCAGGAGGATTAGGCAGAGGTGACACTATCAGTTATGCACTGCTGTTGCAGGTTCAGAATTGTCACCTGGGGTCACCGGGTACGGGTGAGTTTTCACTGTGACGGGGCTGGGAAACACCCCGGCCCAGCCATGTTCAGTCACTGGTCTCTCTGTGCGGTGGCTGGCCCTTGGTGTCCTCTCCCTGGGTCTTTGCCAGGCCTGCCCCTGCCACCTGCCCCGGTACAGACTTCCAGTTCCTGTGTTCTCAGACAGGATCAGCCCTGCCCCGCCCAGCCCAGACTAGGCGGATGCTGGGTGTATATAGGAAATCTTGCACAGCAGGAGTTCCAGGCACACTACCAGAAACCATGCAGTTTGGTCACCAAGCCCATAGGCCTAGACACCTTCTCTCCTGCTCTGCGGGGAACCCAAGGGGAAGTGCTCTCAGACAGCTGAGCTGCCACAGCAGAGCTGCCTGCTGTCACAGCCAGGCCCCACTGGCCATGTGCTGAAGCAAGCACTTTTTCCTTAAGATAAAGTCTCCTCCAGGCCCCCAAGGCTGACACCGGGCAGAGGCACACATTGTTAGGCCCAGTCATTGACAGACTTCATGGACAGAACTAACTGGGACACTCGCAATCGAACCAAAGCCAGTCCCTGGTTCTCTTTTGTGCTTCTGCTGGTGGGTCAGAGCTCTCAAGGCTCTGAGAGCTGCTTCCATGCCCCTCACCCCAAAACAATCATCAGTGTCCATCATGAGAGAGCACAGAAACGAGCCAGGAGGACCCTAGATCAAGTTGTACCTGGCCACTTTCTAGCTATCTCTGTTAGCTTAATTCTCTAAGCCTCAGCTTTCTATCTGTACAATGCGGACAATCATACCGCCTTTGCCTGATTGAAAGGCATTAGTGAGAACAACATGACACAATGGGGAAGAAAGTGCTTATCAAACAGAAAGGTGTGGTACATTTGTACTAGAATGTAAGCCCCTAGAAGGCAGGAACCTTGTATGACTCCTTCACTGCCCTACTCTCAGGGTCAAGGACAATGCCTGGCACATAGCAGGTGCTCAATAAATAGTTCTTGAATGAGCGAATTGGGTTATGACAGATTAGAGTAAAAATAATGATGATGATGATAATCCCTAACATTAATTGCATCTTGGCTATGTGCCACGCATAGTGCTTAGGGCTGTAATAGATAATCCCATCTAAGCTTTACAACAACCCAATAAATGGGGGTACTATTGTTATTCACATTCTGCAGATGAGTTAATGCGATTCAGAGAAGTCAGTGATTTTCCTAAGGCCACATAGCTAGCTGAATAGGTTGTGACCAAAGTGATATGAATTTGCAGATTCAGAGAGGCTCACCACCTAAAAATGGAACATAGGGGTGGCCCTAGTGCCTGAGAGGCAATGATGAGAGTCACTGAATTTTGATATCTTTCTCACTCTTCAAGAATCCAATATTAAAGTGCAGATGCAGCAGGGCATAATGGCTCATGCCTGTAATCCCAACACTTTGGGAGGCAAAGGCAGGAGGATGGCTTGCGCTCAGGAGTTTGAGACCAGCCCTGGCGACATAGTGAGACCCCATTTTTACAAAGAATGCAAAAATTAGCTGGGTGTGGTGGTGCACGCCTGTAGTCCCAGCTATTCGAGAGGCTGAAATGGGAGGATCACTTAAGGTTGAGAGATTGAGGCTGCAGGGAGCCTTGGTCACACCACTGCACTCCAGCCTGGATGACAAAGTGAGATCCTTTCTCTAAATAAATAAATAAATAAATAAATAATAATAAAGGTGCAGGTGCCTCTGGAAAAGTCAAATCTAAATTTCCAATGAGGAAATAATCTAGTTTATCTGTTTGCTTCCTAAGTGTGGAGAGTGGGGTTCTTTTGCAGGGATGGGATTTAGGGTGGGTAGGGGTTACACGTAACAGACACAGAGTTTGCTAGGGAGGGAGCTGAGAAGGCACTTAAGATGAATGTTGACTGTTTTTACTGAGAACTGGCCTAGGACTTCAGGAGGGCAAAAGGGTGTTTGGGCTCCCAAATCACCTTCATGGGACATCTGTCACCCAGCAGCCCAAGGGCCCTGGAAGGTAAAGAGCTGAGTGACAACAGTTGTTTGTCTCCGAGAGAGGTAGCAGTACAGAGACATTATCAAAGGGGGTTTTCTTTTATGTTTGCATATTTTATGATAAGCATGTATTTGCATATCACCTATGGAGTTAAAAGTATATTTAAATAAATGAAAAACTAGAAATGGGTGGAAGAAGGTTGAGAAAAGTCATGGGTTGGATTCTCCAAAGCAACACAGCTTCCAAGACCGTACAGCCTGCGCCAGGCTGCAGCTCTCCAGGGCTTGGCTGATTTACTGGAGATGAACTGCAGCCCCCAGCCTTCCCAGGGTATGACAGCCAATGAGCCTGATCCACAGCTGGGGGGGAAGTATTTGCCTTTGCAGTTGGCAGCATCTCCCTGCCTCCAAGCCTTCCTCATGAGAGACTCATTATGCAGTTTGGTCACATGCCCTATGCATTTTAATGAATGAGTCAGGGGACAGACTCAATTTGAAAGAGGAATCGCTGCTCTCGGCTGGGTGAAGGGCTCTCAAGGGATGCTCTTGCAGCTTGGATATTACAAGAAAAGGAAAGGAGGAAGCTCTTTCCATTTAGCAAGAAGGAAAGGAGGTCTGAAGAGGAAGGTCAAAAGGAAGGAAGGAGAGAAGGAAGGGAGGGAGGGAGGAAGGAGAGAGGGAAAATGGAAGGGACAGAAATAACTGCCTGGAGTTCAGAAAACAGTCCTTGAACAGATGCTGCCCACCAGGCACTCGTTTGCTCCTTTATCCTCCACTTATTTATTCCAAACATTTAGTGCTGTGTAAGTGCCAGGACCACACTAGGCATGGGAGTTATAAGACAAATGAGACAGAGTCCTTGTCCAAAAGGAGTTTGCAGGAAACCAAACCAGTTTGGTCATGTCAGAGTAACTACGGCAGGGGTCTAATTTGGGAGGTGGGATGAGCAAAAGGAGACGGCGTTCGCCTCCTCCCTGTGAGTACACCCATGGGAAGGCAGGGGATCCCTGGCTCCAGGGCCACCATTTCTTAAGCACTTCCCACCTGCCAGATGTAGGGGTGAGGACATCACAGTTAGTATCTCCCTGAATCCTCACAATCATCCCAGGAGGCAGATCCTGTTACTGTCACATTTTTTACAGATGAGGAAACTGAAGCAGAGAGAGCAGCTTGCCCAAGGTCACCCGGGGATTTGAACTCAGTTCTGTCTGACTCCAGCGTTCTTGGCAGCTCAGTTCTATGCTGTCAGCCAACCACTGGATGGGGAATGCTGGAGAAGGCCTTTCCCTTCCCAGGCTTCCTTCCAAGAACACTCTGAACCCCCAGGAGGAAGGGGTTGGTGTGGATCCAGATGGAGTCAGCGCCAACCAGCCTGGGAGCAGATCCGAAACCTCACTGAGTGGGGCTGTGTGTGGGACTGAGAGCCCAAGGGCGGGGGAGAGGAAGGAAGCTGAGCCTCACCGCGGTCAGTCGGGGGGGGGTGAGCTGTTCCCATCCTCCACACCACAAAACACAGGGCAGCAGATGCCTAGCAAATGGGCGTGTGAGAGCATGGTGGGCAGGCAGGCAGGCAATGTCACCAAATTACTCAACAAAGCCACCCTGGCTTTGAACTTTGAGCCAGACTCTGCTGGGACAGGGCATGGGGGTTGGGGTGGGGTGGCACTCACCACTGTGAAAAGGATGTCTGCCACCCCCCTGCCCCCAAGTGGGAGAACATAGCCTGGGGAGAAGCCAAGAAACTGGAAAGCCACCGCACACCCACATTCTCATGAATTTTTACAGCTGGAGAGAAAGAGCGATACACAAGCCCGGCAGGACTCTGGGGCCCTGGGCTTCATGCCGGGGAGGAAAGAAAGGCCACCTGCCATGAACCTGGACTGCACACAAAAACAGCCTTTACTGAGCGATTACTGTATGCCAGGACCGTCATACACGTGATCCCACAGAACCCTCACTGTCACTATCCCCATTATACTGAAGAAGAGATCTCGACTGATGTGCAGAGAGATTAATACCTTGCCACACTCACATGTTTTCCTGCTTTTGGTTTTCACAAGGAGAGATTTTTCCTAAACACCCCTCTTTATCTTCACTCTCACTGTCCACAATAATGGAATGACTGATCTGAATGGGTGACTTGGGAAGACTCTCTGGAATGATCAGCTCAGCCCCATCCTTCTCCCAGGCTCGGTCAGGAAGCTCATTTTGTTCTCACACTCAGCTGCAACCTCCATGCTAGCTTTAGTGGTAATTAAGGTGGTATGTTGGCTCCCTGCCATTCCTTTGTCTTCTTTCTCAATGTGTTCAGAACCTGGAGGCAGAGGAGGGACTCCGGTTTTTGGAAGACTCTTTGGAGATGTCAGCAACACTTAAGAGGATGCTGAGACTCTGGCCAAACCATCCTCATTTGACTGGGGGATTCTTCTCTCCCTCCACATCCTGGCAAAGGATGCTCTTGGCTCCAGGATCAAGTTCCCTTGAAAGAAGTCCAGGAACCAGCCCTGCAACCAGCGTGGCCTCCCCTTCTTTTTGTTTTATTTTTGATTGGCATTTTTTTCTGGGACGAGGAAGACCAAGTCTTGTACCCAGCTGCCTGGTGTAAAGGGGATCAGTCATGTGAGGGTGTTCCTCGTGTGCCAGTGTCTTTCCTTCCAGTTCTTTCCCTTGCCACCTGCCAGGGCATCAACAATGGGTCCTTGACATACTCAACTGCCATCAGTCTAAACTGTTTACTCAGGAATGAACCTGGGTGGGTGATCCAAATCCCAGGGCAGGCCTTGATTAACCCATACCCTAAATGTCCTAGTTTCCAGTCCCAGTGGATCTGCCAGGGAATTCAGAGCCAGTTGTGTCTCTGTGTGACTCTAAGCACAGTCCACACTACCTTGCCATGTTGACCATGGGCAAAGTCCTCACCTGCTCTGTGCTTTGATTTCCTCATCTGTAAAAATGGGAAGACAATACCTGTACTCCTGTTTGTCTCATAGGACTGTTATGAAGCTCAAAGATATTAAATATGTGAAACTTATTTGAAAAGGAATAAAAAATGCTCCATGAGATAGGAGAAGGGAATTATTGTTTTATGATCTTCAATAATGTGCCTGAGGACTTACAAAGCATTTATAGCAAGCACCTTCAGTTTTGCCATTAGTATCTATTCAACTTCATTTTCTTTTGTTTTGTTTTGTTTTTTTGAGACAGTATCTCACTCTGTCACCCAGGCTGGAGTGCAGTGGCACCATCATAGCTCACTGCAGTCTCGACCTCCCGGGCTCAAGTGATCCACCTGCCTCAGCCTCTCAAGTAACTGGGACTACAGGTGCACGCCACCATGGCTGGCTAATTATTATTATTATTTTTTTTTTTTTGAGACAGAGTCTCACTCTGTCACCCAGGTTGGAGTGCAGTGGCACGATCTCGGCTCACTGCAACCTCCGCCTCCCAGGTTCAAGCGATTCTTCTGCCACAGACTCCTGAGTAGCTGGGACTACAGGCACGCATCACCATGCTCAGCTAATTTTTGTATTTTTAGTAGAGATGGGGTTTCACCATATTGGCCAGGCTGGTATCGAACTCCTGACCTCATGATCCGCCTGCCTCAGCCTCTCAAAGTGCTGGGATTACAGGTGTGAGCCACCACGCCCGGCTGAGCTAATTTTTATTGTAAAGACAGGGTCTCACTATGTTGCCCAGGCTGGTCTCTAACTCCTGGCCTCAAGCGATCCTCCTGCCTTGGCCTCCCAAAGTGTTAGGATTACAGGAATAAGCCACTATGCCTGGCCTCACCTTCATTTGGGTAACCATGCCCAACACCCCTGCAATGCCCTGTAATGAACCACTCCTCCTGCTCTCTCAGTCCCTATAGATGCAGTGACATCAGCTCAAGTAAATAAGTGCATGTTGGCCGGGCGCGGTGGCTCAAGCCTGTAATCCCAGCACTTTGGGAGGCCGAGGAGGGTGGATCAGGAGGTCAGGAGATCGAGACCATCCTGGCTAACACAGTGAAACCCCGTCTCTACTAAAAACACAAAAAAATTAGCCAGGCGTGGTGGCAGGCATCTGTAGTCCCAGCTACTCGGGAGGCTAAGGCAGGAGAATGGCATGAACCTGGGAGGCGGAGCTGGCAGTGAGCTGAGATCGCGCCACTGCACTCCAGCCTGGGCGACAGAACGAGACTCCATCTCAAAAAAAAAAAAAAAACAAAGTGCATGTCATTTTCCTTGATTACAGTGATTGTTTCAGGGATGCTCATGGGACCCAATCAGGGTCAATGAGACTTTTGTCAGAATCTCTCTGACCCCAGACCTGAAAGGATATAGGGGCTAGAACTGATGCTGTCAGCTTGTTACATTAACCCAAGACTAAAGTTAAAAGACAGAATATGGAGCCAAGACGTAAGGAGAGTCCCGCTCTAACATTTGAACTCCAAATCCATCATGTCCATCCTTGGAATTTTCATCTTAAGATGAGCCCCTGCACTCCTGTTTTGCTCAAAAGTATCTTGGATTGGATTTCTATTTTTTTTTTTTTTTGAGACAGACTCTTGCTCTGTTGCCCAGGCTGGAGTGCAATGGCATGATCTCGGCTCACTGCAAACTCAGCCTCCTGGATTCAAGTGATTCTCCTACCTCAGCTTCCCGAGTAGCTGGGATTATGGGCGCCCACGACCATGCCTGGTTAATTTTTGTATTTTTAGTAGAGACAAGGTTTCATCATGTTGGCCAGGCTGGTCTCGAACTCCTGACCTCAAGTGATCCTCCTGCTTTGGCCTTCCAAAGTGCTGGGATTACAGGCATGAGCCACTGTGTCCAGTCTTGAATTGGATTTTCTATCACCTGCTACCAAAAGAATCCTAAGGAATATGACATTATCTCATAACGATCCTTTCAACAACTGTGAAGTAAGTATTGTAACCCCTGCTTTACAGATAAGGAAGAGAAAGTGAGGCACAGAGAAGCTATGTGATATAAATAGTGGAGGCAGGATTTGAATCAAGTCTCCTGGCTTTTGGAGCTTGCATCCTATCCACTGCATGAGGACTTGGGAATAGACCCGAGTCTCATATTCACAGCTTAGTCACAGACTTCAAGTCAGCAGTAGAGCATCTGCCAGGAGAGGAGAGCCCTGATTCCCCTGCAGTCAGAGGCTGAGAGGACATAATTCACCGGTGTTCTCTGCTCCGTGTGCCCTCTCCCTGGAAGAAAAGCACCAACAGGAGGAGGAACTCAGCCAATTCCTATAGAGCTTATGCTTGGTGTCAAGGGTTTGGAGGGCCCTTAATGGCTCACCACCTCCTGCTACTTCTAGAGAGTGATACTTCATAGTTTACTTGTTAGAAGTCACTCTTCTCTCTAAAGACAATGGGGCCTGATAAAATGCAAATACATCTCAGGCTTCCCAGGGCTTACAACCTGAGCTACTATCAGTGATGACAGTTTCGTAGTAATAATGGATTTGAGAAGGTTTAGGGCACCAGGTGCATGGTGGGGATAGGAGGTGTGGCCCCCTGGAAGGGAAAAGGGGTGCAGAAAGGGACACCTGAAGATTGGGTAAGTTTCCATTGGTTGAGGGAGCAAGTCAGCTGTATACATTTGATAGTAAGATACTATAATAGAATATTTGGGATTTGCTTCAAAATAACACAGGGATGGAGAAAGTGGGTGGAGATATAGATACAATAAAATTGGCCATGAGTTGATAATTCTTGAAGCTGGGTTATGAGGGTTCATTCCGCCTACCTGAGCATTTATTTGAAATTTTTGTTAGTAATTTTTAAAAGGATAATGAATAATAAAAAACATTTTGTGCTTTCTTCTTTGTAGAGCCCTTTCACACATATCTTATATGCACCTCACAAATGATTTTTTTCCTCATTTTAAAGACACCAACACTGAGGCTCAGAGAAGCTAAGTCATTTATGCCAGGTGGAATTGAGAGCTGAACCTGGACCTTCCAATGTCTCCTGCCTTCCAAGGTTAGTCTGGGGCGGGAGGCAACAGAGGGAGGTTTGGCAGCCTCTGTTTGGCAGGGGCTGACAGGCAGGGACAGTTACCCAGTGAGCCAGTCAGTCCTATTCACTTTCAAGTCCTGCCCTAAGGCAGCCCAGTCTGTGTATAATTGGTGCGGCACAGACCCCAGGAGGGCCTCAGGGAACCATTGAGCACACGGTGGAAAGCTCCAGGCCACTGATTTCATGTGCCTCTTGGTAGTTAAGAAAACAGTGAGTCTAGCTCAGCAGACTCTAGACCTTTTCATGGGCATCTTGAGAACCGTTGCCTGAACATCTGGGTCTGATAAAGGGAGACCCACGTGGGCCTCCCTGCCCCCTTTCCTATAACAATTTCCGCACGTCCCCTTGAAGCTCTGGGCATGTGGCTGTTCTTTTCTTTTCTTTCCTCTCAAACATATGGATTCTCAGCTCCTATTTCAAACTCAAATGCTCTCTGCTATAAACTCCCCAAAGCTCTCAATTTCCTTTTTCCATTGCTCATTCTTTCCTAAACTGCATGAAAAATCTTCTCTTAGCTCTGTTCCAATTTCCTTGTTTATGAAGGAAGGGCAATGAGAACAGTGATTTTAATTATCAAGGTTAAGTAAGGCCTGATTCCTTCCTTAGGAGAACACACCTCAATAACCTGGGAAATCAAAGCTTACCAGGCAAGAGGAGCAACTCACAGAAAAGCCCTGGCTCCTCCAAAATATTTACCCGGCAGGAGGCCTCGTACAGTGCCATCTGCTCCTTTTATCTGACTGAAACTTCCTCTTTGAAAATCACTAATGGAATAGAAAAAAGAAAAGTCACGGGCATGATTCCCAGAAGGTTATTGCTAAAGCGGGTGTGTGTTATCTGGGAAGCAAAGAACAGGTCCCTGCCTGTTCCTTAGCCTGTGGCCTTGTGTGTCTTTATGGAATGGGAACTTATCCCCTTGAAAGCAGAAAGAACCCAGCCCCCAGCCCCAGAATACTGGATAAATCAGCATCAATGGGGGCAGGGAGGAAGGGTGTGTGATGTACCAGGAGCCCAGGGGATAGAAGGTCCTCCCCAAGGCAGATGTCAGGAAACTCAAGTGCCTTTAGGCACAGCAGGCAACATAAATGTCCTGGGGGGTAAGATGATCAAAGGCAGGCTGGGTCTGGGGGTAATCCCAGTGCTCTAGGTGGACATTGCTTGAGGCCAGTGGTAAAAGACCAGCCTAGGCAACATAGCAAGACCTCATCTCTAAAAAAAATAAAAAAAAAAAAAAAAAAAAAGATGATCAAAGGCAGCTGACCAGAGTGGTGGGGACTGGAGACAGCAAGTCCTCTGTGAAAGGGGCAGCAGCTACTCACTTCTGGCTCTAGCTGATTGCTATTATGGACGAATGTGGCCCTCTGTTGCCAGATCTTTTATTTTTCCAAAATAAGTGAAGATTTGGATTTTACGTGAAGTCTCCCAATTTGGGAATTGACTTAAGTAAAAAGTATTGCAAAAGACGATGTTATGAGCCAAACAAAGCCTGTCTAGCAGTCCAAGTTTACCCGAGCACCCCCAGTTTGCAACCCTAACCTAGGAAGTGGGTCCTGTATGCCTGCAGTATGGTAGAGGGTGTGGACAGACGAAGCCAGGAGGTCAGATGAAGGCATACCACGAAAGACTTGACCAGCATCCTAACAGGGTAAGACCGCCTGATGTTCCTGGGGCTCAGAAAACACTTTCCGGCTTCTGTGATTGTGATTTTGTTGTTGCTGTTGTTGTTTTGAGACGAAGTCTCACTCTGTTGCCAGGCTGGAGTGCAGTGGCGTGATCTCAGCTCACTGCAACCTCCGCCTCCCAGGTTCAAGCCATTCTCCTGCCTCAGCCTCCCAAGTAGCTGGGACTACAGGCGCCTACCACCACGCCCGGCTAATTTTTTGTATTTTAGTAGATACAGGGTTTCACCATATTGGCCAGGATCGTTTCGATCTCCTGACCTCATGATCCACCCGCCTTGGCCTCCCAAAGTGCTGGGATTATAGGCATGAGCCACCGCACCCTGCCAGGCTTCTGTGATTTTATCATGCTGTATCTGCTGCCAGTTGGGTCCTTACCAACAACACTCTAAACTGCTTCAGAAATCCTCCTCCTCTTCAAGGCCAGTTCAGGACTCTTTCTTTGGGTAGGGCAAGTTTTCACTTGAGTCTCTGACCACATTTGAGTCAACCTTAAGAACTTAAAATTCACCTGCCCATAGAAGAATTAAGTGACACCTTCCTTTCCTTCACATTCCATGGTCATGACCAGCAAGTAACTGCATATTTAAGGAGCTCTTCTACTGGTGCGGTGGCTCACACCTGTAATCTCAGCAGTTTGGGAGCCCAAGGCAAGAGGATTGCTTGAAACCAGGAGTCAAGACCAGCCTGGGCAACATAGTGAGACCTCACCTCTACAAAAAAATTCAAAAATTAGTCAGGGCTGGGTGCGGGTGGCTCACGCTTGTAATCCCAGAACTTTAAGAGGCTGAGGCGGGAGGATCATTTGAGCCAGGAGTTTGAGACCCCAGGCTGGGCAACAAAGTGAGACCCTATCTCAATTAAAAAAAAAAATTAGTTGGGCATAGTGATGCACACTTGTAGTCCTAGCTACTTGGCAAGCTGAGGTGGGAGGATCGCTTGAGGCCATGAGTTCAAGGCTACAGTGAGCTATGATCATGCCACTGCACTCCAGCCTGGGTGACAGAGTGAGAGACAGGTTTTATTTTGTTAAAAATAAAACAAAGAAGTCGGGGGGTGGGGGCGCTTTTATTTTCAAAAAAAAGTTTCAAGGACAACTTCTGTTTCTCATCTCTGTGAGAGAAAAGAGGGAAACTGAGGCACGGAGTTGGGGGCTATTTGCTGAAAGACACCTTTGGCAGGACTCCAAAGAGTGGGCAGAACCACATACTAAGCTATTTTTCAAAGTTCAGGTGTCTTCAGGAATTGTCCATAATAAAGATAAGTAGAATTTCCTTACAATGGAATGGTGCAGAAATCTAACAGGCAGAGAAAGAGGGGAAAAAACCTTAAGCAAAGGTGTGGCAATATAATCTCTTTCTCTGGCATTATCTTTTTGCTGCCAGTTAGATTCTTTTAGTCTTGCAATTCCCTTATACAGGAAATGAGAAAGATGAGTGGAAGGAGACGATAAGAGGAGAAATTTCAGAGCAAGGGCAAGTGTGTTAAATGAATGACTGCCTACAGTAGGGTGTGTCCAGGAATGTCTGGGGGTGTGTTTGCATCCTTAGTTTATGCAAGTTATGCACCAAAGCTTTGCATCCTTAGCTATGCAAGCCATTTTGGTGGAAGTGTTGTTTCTCATACTTCAGGAAATACAATACCCTCCTATGGGGACCTTTGTGATTTGTCACCCTCTCTCCCATCTCCTCAACACACTGTTGCCAGTCACTTAATCAATGCCTATTTGTAGAATATCCTCTTGGTACCTGGCACTGTGATATGTACCAAGGTTACATCAATGAACAAGGAAGACACAATCATAGTCCTCAGGGGGCCACAGTTTAAAAGGGAGGCAGACGACTGATGGGAAACCACAGTTCAGCAGGGTGAGCACTCAGATAGAGGACACAAAGAGGGAGGGCATGGAGGAGGAAGCTTACCTGACAGGGCAGAGAGGAGCTGGGAACGTATCCTGGAAGAAGGGAGTCTAACCTGGGATCTGAAGGATGTGCTGGAATTGGACGGGTAAAAAGCAAAGAGAATGCTTCAGGCAGAGCCAAGTGCATGGGCAAAGATCTGAAGGTCGAATTCCTCCTGCACCTGATGAAGATCTGTGGTTGGAAGTAAGGCAAGCTCTGTCCTGGGAAGGTTTCCAGGGTTCTGGGGCCAAGTAAGGGACCAACAGGGCAGTGGCTATAAGCTGAGGCTGAGAACCTTAAAATTCTTTGTTCTCAAATTTAAACCAATCGGTTAAAAGCATTTAAAATAGGCTGGGTGCAGTGGCTCATGCCTGTAATCCCAACACTTCAGGAGGCAGAGGTGGGAAGATCACCTGAGCCTAAGAGTTTGAGACAAGACTGGGCAACATGATGAAACCCTGTCTTTACCCAAAGAAATATAAAAATTAGTTGGGTGTGGCGGCAAAGGCCTGCAGTCCCAGCTACTCAGGAGGCTGAGGTGGGAGGATGGCTTGAGCAGGGAAGGTTGAGGCTGCAGTGAGCCAAGATCACGCCACTGCACTCCAGCATGGATGACAGGGCAAGATGCTGACATACATGAATAAATAAATAAATAAATAAATAAATAAATAAATAAATAAATAAATAAAATGTTCTCCTGTCCTTAAGATACTTAGAATACAGGATGGAGAACTAAGTGTTTACCAGACACTGGAAAATAGTCCTTCCTCCTGATATGGAACACCAACACCAAGGTTAAAGCACAGAGCCTGAGACAAAGTGACTTTTAAATTCCAGTGCGCAGGAGACAAAGAACATTCATACATTTTGTTCTTTCTCTTTCTCTCTCTCTCACACACACACATACACACTAACCTGGTGAGGTAGGCAGAGTAGGTGTTAGACTTTTTTAAATATTGTTTTTATAGAGGAGAAAACTGAGGCTCAAAGAGGAAAAGTATCCAAGGTTATTGGTTTATTCATTCATTCATTCATTCATTCATTCATTCACAAACTTGACAAATATAAACAGATCACTTACCAGCCTGGGCAACATAGTGAAACACCATCTCTACAAAAAAAAATTTTTTTTTAATTAGCCAAGCATGGTGGCATGCACCTGTAGTCCCAGCTACTTGGGAGGCTGAGGTAAGAGGATTGCTTGAGCCCAGGAGTTTGAGGCTGCAGTGAACCACTATCATGCCACTGCACTCTAGCCTGGGCAACAGGGCAAACCCCCAACTTGAGGGGAAAAAAGAGCACCTGCTGACCTGCTGTTGGCAGGATTGTGCTTGGCACTGTGGATAGAGTGGTGAATAAGACACGCCTACTCATAGGAGCCAGGGTTCAAACTCATGGAAATTCTGATTCCAATTCCAGTGCCCTTCCCAATACAATGAACTGCAGGTTTGATGTGTTGTCTCCACTGCTCCAGTGGTTTGGGTGGGTGCTTTATTGCCCCATAGTCTTTGCCAGCTACCACCTCCCAAAACATACCATCAAAGAGAAAACTGCATAGTTGTTATGCAAATGTATCTTTAAGACAAGGTGCAGAACCAGATTCTCCCTGTAAGTCCCTCCCATCTAGAAACTCTGTATCCACCAAAGACTGTCCTGAACTGGTTGCCTTTGACAGTCCCTGGGAGATTTTCCATCCTGCCTCCATGCCCTGTACTAGCTGAGAGCAAATGCTTTTAAAATCTCATCTTTGGCAAATCTTCTCTCTAAACACTGCCTGATGGAAGTAGGGATGGGACAAAGCTTCTTTCAAAGCAAAAGGGGGAAGACTGGAGTGGGAAGGAGAAGGAAGGGAATAAACAAGGAATAAGACACCAGACCCACTTTGCGTAATGAATAACTTTGCTGTGAGCCAGCACTGGCCAAGGTCAGAGATGACTGGCAAAACCCAACCAGACAGACATCCCTGAAAGATGCTTGGGAGAGGCTGGTGTATCTCCCCAGAGCCGGGCATGTTATTTCCTGGGGCAATGCAAGTCACAGAGGATGAAAGCTGATGACTGAATGTCTGGGGCAGGGTGGAAGGCCTAGCCAGGAGGTGGGGGTGGAGGAGTAGAAAGGGAGAGGGGTGGAGACTTGGCTGGTTTTTGCACAGACAAATCTCTTCATTTTTCCAGACTGGAAAAAGCTGTTTGGGCTGTGCGCATTTGCAGAGAGTCACGGTATTTACTACGCTTCCTGGCTCAACAGATTTCTTTTTGTCATTCAGTCAAACCCAGCTTGTATTTCTTGTAGCAAGAACTGAACAGACTGTGGGAGCTCTTCCCCCTCGTTGTGTTCAAAAACACATCACGAATGACTCAAAAAGCCCAGCTTACTTGGGCAGCAGGGGTGGGTGGGGTAGCATGTTGTAGAGACAAAGACCTGTGTTTAGACAAACACTGTCTCCCCCTTGGAGGTGTAGAGTGACACTCCTTATTTTCCCAGCACACATATTTCTTGAGCAACTGTAATAACAAACTGCTGTACTAGAAACTGATTGCCGCACCTTGCGTATGCCTCTCAGTTATCCATGTTGATGGGCGTGTGAGTAGGCTACAGGGAAGGGATAACCAGAAAAAGTGGTTAATAAAAAAAAGAAAAAAACCCTTCTTGCCAAAATATGTCTCCTAAGATCTGTTTCTGCCCACAGAATACTTCTGTTAACAAATGTGTGGGTCTTTTCCCCCATGCCAACCAATTCTCCAACACCAGCTGGTGTCCTATAATGCAATTCAATTCTGACACTAACTACCTGGAGATTCCACAGGTTAAGGGCTTAGTTGCACAGATTGCTCCCACTTCAGATGCCAGTTGAAGGTCCCGGATCTCTGGGACTTCTGACCAACCAGCTATAAATTCAGGAGGTCCCCATGCCCCCCTCCTCAGATTCAATAATTTGCTAGAAAGCTCACAGAATGCAGGGAAACACTTTCCTTATGTTTACCAGTTTACTATAAAGACACAAGTCAGAAACAGCTAGATGAAGAGATGCAGAGGGCAAGGTATGGTGGGGCTAGACAGAGCTTCCATGCTCTCTCTGGGAGCACCACCTTCCTAGTTCTTCCAAGTGTTCACCAACCCAGATGCTCCTCAAATCTCATTGTTCAAGAGTTTTCATAGAGCTTAGTCTCCAGCATTGCACCCCCAGCCCCTTTCGAGGGGCTGGTCAGTAGGTGGTACTGAAAGTTCCAGTGTGGTCTTTTTGGTGACCAGCCATACCCTGAGGCTATCTAGGATTCCAACCAAAAGACACCCCACTAACATAAACTGAGGTATAATGGAAAGGGGCTTATTATGAATAACAAAAGATATTCCTACCATTCAGAAAATTCCCAGGGATGTAGGAGCTGTGTACCAGGAACCAGAGACAAAGACCAAATATATTTTTGTATTATACCACAGTGCCTAAACATAACTCAGTTCTAGAAGTGTTTCTGGCCAGATGTCAGATTAGAACGTCATCTGTTGAAGCATTTTATGCTAAGTCATTGGTTCAATCCAACAAACATTGTGTGAGCACTTAACGTGTGCAATATACAGCTCTAGGGGTGGAGGTATCCAAGCTGACCACAGCTTACCATGCATTTTGCAGTTTTAATAGAAAGCAATCTGGGAGCCCAATGGCATGAACAGCCAATGGTGGAAGTTTTGCCACCAAAGATGGACCAGACCAGTAGGAAAATCTTTTGAGGGGTACGAGAAGGAAAAGCTTTCCCAGGTCCCTTCATACTCCAAGGCTCCTGTATGTATAACGCTAGCCAAACAACCATACTGAAAGTATGGTCATCAAATCTTGCTGAACCAACCTAGGATTTATGCTTCCCAGGAGCTGCAGAGTGGGAGCTTCACTTTCAAAGACGACATAATGCCATATTCAGGCAACCTCTGACCTCTGCAGGCAGGAGGCGGGTAAATAAGCAGATAACTCTGGTGATGCTGGTTAGCATCACCTGATACAATGTTAACAGTGCCTCAGACCTCTTGCTTTTCTCTGAATTGGCAAAGCACAATGTTATCTTGCATTAATTTAAGGGGAGAAAGGACCCACACAGACTTCTCCTCAAATCTGCTTCTGGGCCAGGAGCCATGAGGAGTTAGGGGAATGGAAGTGGGGAGGGAAGCAGTAAGGGTCTTTAAGGGACCAAGGGAGTTGGGGAGCTAGGAATTCTGTATAGTCCAAGTTGACTATGCCAGATGTGGCTCATTTTATTTTCTTTTAAAAGATTATTATGGGCACAGGCAGGAAAAGAAAAAAAGTAGACATGATCAAATAATACTTAGTCTGTTTTATGTTGCTATAACAGAATACTACAGACTAGTAATTTACAATGAACAGAAATGTATTTGGCTCATAGCTCTGGAGGCTGGGAAGTCCAATGGCATACCACCAGCACCTTGAGACGACCTTTGTGCTGTGTCATCAGGTGGCAGAAGGTGGAATGGCAAGTAAGTGCAAGAGACAGAAAGGGAAACAGGGCCGAACTTCATCCTCCTCACTCCCAAGATAACTAACCCCTTCCTGTGAAAACATCATGAATCAATTCAAGAGGCCTCTACTCTTATGACCTAATCACCTCTTAAAGGTCCCACCTTATAATACTGTCACAATGGCAATTAAATTTCAACACCACTTTTGGAGGGAACATTCAAACCATAGCAAGTACAAAGTTTCAGTTACACAGGAGACATAAACTTAAGTGATATATTGGACAGAATGGTGACTATAATAAATAAAAATGCATTGTATATATATATTTTTTTCTCTTTTTCCTTTTCTGAGACATGGTTTCATTTTGTTGCCCATGCCGGAGTGCAGTGGTGCAATCTCAGCTCACTGCAACCTCCACCTCCCCGGTTCAAGCGACTCTCCTGCCTCAGCTCCCCAAGTAGCTGGGACTACAGATGAGCAACACCATGCCTGGCTAATTTTTGTATTTTTAGTAGAGACGGGATTTTTGCCATGTTGGCTAGGCTGATCTTGAACTCTGACCTCAAGTGATCCACCTGACTTGGCCTCCCAAAGTGTTAGAATTACAGGGGTGAGCCACTGCACTGGGTCGCATTGCATATTTCAAAATTGCCGAAGAAGTAGATTTCAAATGTTTTACCTCAAAAAAAGATAAGTGTGTGAGGTACTGAATTCATCAACTAGCCTGATTTAATCATTACATATTGTAAACGTACATTGTGCCCCTTAAATATATACTTTAAAAATAAAATTTTAGGCTGGGCGCGGTGGCTCATACCTGTAATCCCAGCATTTTGGGAGTCTGAGGCAGGCGGATCACGAAGTCAGAAGACAGAGCCCATCCTGGCTAACATGGTGAAACCCCGTCTCTACTAAAAATACAAAAACAAAATTAACTGGGCGTGGTGGCGGGTGCCTGTAGTCCCAGCTACTCAGGAAGCTGAGGTGGGAGAATGGCATGAACCCAGAAGGCAGAGCTTTCAGTGAGCCGAGATCACGCCACTGCACTCCAGCCTGGGCGACAGAGCGAGACCCCATCTCAAACAAAAAAAAATGAATTTAAAAAATAAAATTTTATATATTAAAAAAAAAAATGGGCAAGCACAGTGGCTCTCACCTGTGATCCCAACACTTTGGGAAGCCAAGGCAGGCGGATCACCTGAGGTCAGCAGTTTGAGACCAGACTGGCCAACATGGGAAAACCCTGTTTCTACTAAAAATACAAAAATTAGTTAGGCGTGGTGGCACACACCTGTAATCCCAGCTACTCAGGAGGCTGAGGTAGGAGAATTGCTTGAACCCAGGAGGCGGAGGTTGCAGCAAGCCAAGATCATGCCACTGCACTCCAGCCTGGGCAACAGAGTGAGACTCCATCTCAAAAACAAAACAAAACAAATAAACTTAGTTGGGCCTGGTGGCATGCACCTGTAGTCCCAGCTACTCAGGAGGCTGAGGTGGGAGGATTCTTTGAGCCTAGGAGTTCAAGGCTGCAGTGAGCTGTGATCCTGCCACTGAGACCTTGCTTGTAAAAATAAATAAATAAATAAATACATTTTTTAAATTAGCAAACAAAAATTAATTAATTAAAATTTGCTTTTGTTTTTGTTTTTGAGATAGAGTCTCACTCTGTTGCCCAGGCTGGAGTGCAGTGGCATGATCTCAGCTCACTGCAACCTCCACCTCCAGGTTCAAGTGATTCTCCTGTCTTAGCCTCCCAAGTAGCTGGGACTACAGGCATGCACCACCATGCCCAGCAAATTTATACATATATATATATTTTTTCTTTTCTTTGCTTTTCTTTTTTTTTGACATGGAGTTTCACTCTTGTCATCCAGGCTGGAGTGCCCTGGCATGATCTCGGCTCATTGCAACCTCTGCCTCCTGGGTTCAAGCGATTTCCCTGCCTCAGCCTCCTGAGTAGCTGGAATTATAGGCGCCTGCCACCATGCCTGACTAATTTTTGTATTTTTAGTAGAGATGGGGTTTTGCCATGTTGGCCAGGCTGGTCTCGAACTCCTGACCTTAAGTGATCTGCCTGTCTTGGCCTCCCAAAGTGCTGTGATTACAGGCGAGAGCCATCACACCCAGCCTAATTAAAATAATTTTTTTTTAAAAATTGGATGTTATGAAAAATTTTTTAATGTGTTCATAAAAAGACAATATCAACAGAGTAAAAAGACAACCCAGAAATAGAAGTAAATATTTATAAATCATATATCTGATGGAGGATTAATAGCCAGAAGATACAGAGAACTCCTACAACTCAACAACAACAAACGTGATTCAAAATGGGCAAAGGACTTGAATAGATATTTCTCCAAAGAAGATATATAAACGGCCAATAAGCACATGAAAAGATGCTTGACATCGCTAATTATTAGGGAAATGGAAATCAAAGCTATAATGAGATGCCACTCACACCATTAAGATGGCTACTCTGAAAAAAACAGAAAATAACAAGTGTTGGTGAGGACGTGGAGAAATGGGAATCCTTGTGCACTGCTGGTGGGAATGTAAAAAAGCTATACCTGTGGGGAAAACAGTACGTCAGGTCCTCAAAAGATTAAAAATGAAATTACCATATGTATTAGTCCATTTTCATGCTGCTGATAAAGACATATGTGAGTCTGGGAAGGAAAAGAGATTTAATTGGACTTACAGTTCCACATGGCAGGGGAGGCCTCGGAATCATGGCGAGAGGCAAAAGGCACTTCTTATGTAGCAGCAGCAAGAGAAAATGAGGAAGATGCAAAAGCAGAACCCCCCACCCCCGGAATAAAACCATCAGATCTCGTGAGACTTATTCACTACCAAGAGAACAGTATGGGGGAAACCGCCCCCATGATTCAAATTATCTCCCACTGGGTCCCTCCCACAACACATGGGATTTATGGGAGTACAATTCAAGATGAAATTCGGGTGGGGGTACAGAGCCAAACCATATCATTCCGCCCCTGGCCCCTCCAAATCTCATGACCTCACATTTCAAAACCAATCTTGCCTTCCCAATAGTCCCCCAAAGTCTTAACTCATTTCAGCATTAACCCCAAAGTCCACATTCCGAAGTCTCTTCTGAGACAAGGCAGGTCCCTTCTGTCTATGAGCCTGTAAAATCAAAAGCAAGCTAGTTACTTCCTAGATACAATGGGGGTACAGGTATTAGGTAAATATAGCCATTCCAAATGGGAGAAATTGGCCAAAACAAAGGGGTTACAGGGCCCATGCAAGCCTGAAATCCATCAGGGCAGTCAAATTTTGAAGCTCTAAAATGATCTCCTTTGACTCCAGGTCTCATATCCAGGTCACACTGATGCAAGAGGTGGGTTACTGTGGCCTTGGGCAGCTCTGCCCCTCTGGCTTTGCTGGATACAGCCTCCCTCCCCACTGCTTTTACAGGCTGGTGTTGTCTGTGGCTTTTCCAGGCACACGATGCAAGTTGGATCTGCCATTCTGGGGTGTGGAGGATGGTGGCCCTCTTCTCACAGCTCCACTAGGCAGTGTCCCAGTAGGGACTCTGTGTGGGGGCTCCAACCTCACATTTCCCTTCTGCACTGCCCTAGCAGAGGTTCCCATGAGAGCCCCACCCTGCAGCAAACTTCTGCCTGGGCATCCAGGCGTCTCCATACATCTTCTAAAATCTAGGCGGAGGTTCCCAAACCCCAGTTCTTGACTTCTGTGCAGCCACAGGCTCAACACCACATGGAAGCTGCCAAGGCTTGGTGCTTGCACCCTCCGAAGCCATGGCCCAAGCTCTACATTGACCCCTTTCACCCACGGCTGGAGTGGCTGGGATGCAGGGCACCAAGTCCCTAGACTGCACACAGCATGGGGACCCTGGGGCCTATCCACAAAACCATTTTTTCCTCCTCAACCTCTGGGCCTGTGATGGGAGAGGCTGCCGCAAAGGTCTCTGCCATTTCCTGGAGACATTTTCTCCATTGTCCTGGGGATTAACATTCAGCTCCTCATTACTTATGCAAATTTTTGCAGCCTGCTTGAATGTCTCCTCAGAAAATGGGATTTGCTTTTCTATTGCATTGTCAGGCTGCAAATTTTCTGAACTTTTATGCTCTGCTTCCCTTTTAAAACTGAATGCCTTTAACAGCACCCAAGTCAACTCTTGAATGCTTTGCTGCTTAGAAATATCTTCCACCAGATACCCTAAATCATCTCTCTCAATTTCAAAGTTCCACAAATCTCTAGGGCAAGGGCAAAATGCCACCAGTCTCTTTGCTAAAACATAAAGAAGAGTCACCTTTGCTCCAGTTCCCAACAAGTTCCTTAACTCTATCTGAGACCACCTCAGCCTCGATTTCATTGTCCATATCATTATCAGTATTTTGTCAAAGCCATTCAACAAGTCTCTAGGAAGTTCCAAACTTTCCCACATTTTCGTGTCTTCTTCTGAGCCCTCCAAACTGTTCCAATCTCTGCCTATTACCCAGTTCCAAAGTCGCTTCCACATTTTTGGGTATCTTTTCAGCAGCGCCCCACTCTACTGGTACCAATTTACTGTATTAGTCTGTTTTTACACTGCTGATAAAGACATACATGAGACTAGGAAGAAAAGGAGGTTTAATTGTTCCACATGGCTGAGGAGGCCTCAGAATTATGGTGGGAGGCAAAAGGCACTTCTTACATGGCAGCAGTTAGAGAAAATGAGAAAGATGCAAAAGCAAAAACCCCTGATAAACCCATCAGATCTCATGAGACTTATTCACTACCACGAGAACAGTACTGAGGAAACCATCCCATGATTCAAATTATCTCCAACTGGGCCGCTCCCACCACAGGTGGGAATTATGGGAATACAGTTCAAGATGAGATTTGGGTGGGGACACAGAGCCAAACCATATTACCATATGATCTAGCAGTTCCACTTCTGGATATATATTCAAAAATATTGAAAACAGAGTCTCAAAGAGATATTTGTACATTCACATTCATAGCAGCATCATTCACAACAGTCAAGAGGTAGAAGCAATCCAAGTGAACATCAACAGACAAATGGATAAGACTGTGGTACATAAACATATACAGTGGAATAGTATTCAGCCTTAAAAGGAAGGAAATGCTGACATAGGCTACGACACGGATGAACCTTGAGGTCATCACGCTAAGTAAAATTAGCCAGTCACCAAAAACAAATACTATCTGATTCCACTGGTATGAGGCACTCAGAGTAGTCAAATTCATAGAGACACACAGCAGATTGGCTGTTGCCAGGGCTACGGGGAGGCGAAAATAGAAAGTTAGTGTTTAACGGGTACAGAGTTTTAGTTTTACAAGATGAAAGGAATTCTAGAGATGGATAGTGGTGATGGTTACACATCACTATGAATATATTTAATATCACAGAACCATAGATATGAAAATGGTTATAGGGATGGCCGGGCGTGGTGGCTGAAGCCTATAATCTCAGCACTTTGGGAGACCGAGGCGGGTGGATCACCTGAGGTAAGGAGTTCAATACCAGCCTGGCTAACATGGTGAAACCACGTCTCTACTAAAAATACAAAAATTAGCTGGGCGTGGTGGCAGGCGCCTGTAGTCCCAGCTACTCAGGAGGCTGAGGCAGGAGAATTGCTTGAACCCGGGAGGTGGAGTTTGCAGTGAGCCAAGATTGTGCCACTGCACTGTAGCCTGGGCAAAGAGCTAGACTCTGTCTCAAAAAAAAATAAAAAAAATAAAAAAATAAAAAGTTATAGGCTGGGCATAGTGGCTCATACCTATAATCCCAGCATTTTGGGAAGCTGAGGCAAGAGGATTGCTTGAACCCAGGAGTTCGAGACCAGGCAACATATTGAGACCCTGTCTCTACAAAAAATTAAAAAGTTAGCCAGGCATGGTGGGGTGGGGTGAGGTGGGGTTGGGGGTCGCTTGAGCCCAGGAGTTAGAGGCTACAGTGAGCTATATGATTACACCACTGTACTCTAGCCTGAGCAACAGAGCAAGACCCTGCCTCAAAAAAAAAAAAAAAAAAGTTATGGTGATAAATTTTACATGTATTTTTTAAATTGGAAAAAAATATTGCAGGGATCCCAATTATAAAAAAAAAAAAAGACTTATGGCTTTCCTTCCAAAGTAGAAAGGCAGAAATGGAAAAATGAGTTTTGGTTGCTATGGAAATAGGAGTTGGCTGGGCCTGCAGGAGCAGCAGCTGGAGGGGAACAAGTGGCCGGGAAGTTGGCCCTGTGACAGAGGGGGGCTTCCGGCTGGGGATAAGACAACAACAGACTTCAGCAGGGAGAGTAGGAGGTAGAAAGAAGAAAGAAAAGGAGACAGAGTCTGTCTCTAGACACTGGCGCCTATGAATTCTGCAGACATTTGGATACAGAGGTGGGTGTGCATGCATGTGTGTCTGTGTTGCACATGTATCCCCAGAGGCCAGAAAAACAAGATGCACAATAAACTCAATGCCTGAAAAAGAACACAGTTTCACCAGCTGTCCTGAGGGTAAGAAAGCCCCCAAACCGTTGAGTGACAGAAGAGGAAAGGCCTGCCGTTGAAATGCTTTCTGGGGTATGGGGAAATGCCTGAGTAGGGCTGGCCATCACACTGTGTTCCCTCACCTTTGTCCTCAGCACAGTTCTTCAAACTGAAACCGAGGTGGGCCAGAAAGACAGACAACAAAATCCCCGCAGGGTGAGCAGGACCGAGGGGTGGGCGAGCTGATGGCTCTCTTTCTTCTGCAGCTCTGAGTGACTGTTTCTGCTTCAGTCTCCATGATGCTGGGGCTCTGGGGTCTTCTAGCCTGAGGCTTTAAAGGCACCTGAATGTTCTCAGAATCACTTTCTGGGAAGATGTATTGATTATGCCTATAGTGATGACAAGTCTTTGCTGGCCCCCAGGAGGGCTCACCTGAGGGAATATTTTACTATTCCCATTCCTACCCCAGGAAGAGGAACTCGCAAACCCTTTCTTACAATCACAGTGGGGTGAATGGGTAGGGGCTCACATTTTTGAAATGACTTAAACCTAGGCTTTTGACTCTATATAACACTGTCATTGTCTATATAACACCATCTCTGAGACACACTGAAGGGACCAAACAGTTCAAAATGACTACCATATTAGTATCCTGTTTTGCATTTCTTCATTTTTAAATATATCAAGAGCCTCAAAAATGAATGTGAGTATTGAAAAGAACATAATACTTAGGAATAAATTTAATCAAGGAGGTGAACGTCTTCTACACCAAAAACTACAAAACACTGGTGAAAGAAGTTAAAGAAGATATAAGTAAATGGAAAGACATCCCATGATGACTTGGAAGACATAATATTGAGATGTCAGTGCTACCCAAAGTGATCTACAGAGTCAATGTAATTGCTATCAAAATCTCAATGACTTTTTGCAGAAATAGAAAAATCCACCCTAAAATTCATAAGCAATCCCAAGGGACCCCAAATAGCCAAAATAATCATGAAAAAGAACAAATCTGGAGGACTCACACATCCTGATTTCAAAACTTACTACAAAGCTACAGTAATCAAAGCAATGTAGTATTTGCATAAAGAAAGACATATGGCCAGGTGCGGTGGCTCATGCCTGTTATCCCAGCACTTTGGGAGGCCAAGACAGGCGGATCACTTGAGGTCAGGAGTTTGAGACCAGCCTGGCCAACATGGTGAAATCTTGTTTCTACTAAAACTACAAAAATTAGCTGGGCATGGTGGTGCATGTCTGTAGTCCAGCTATTCAGGAAGCTGAGGCAAGAGAATCACATGAACCCGGGAGGCAGAGGTTGCAGTGAGCCAAGATCACGCCATTACACTCCAGCCTGGGTGACAGAGCAAGACTCCAAAAAAAAGAAAGACAGAAAGAAAGAGAGAGAGAGAGAGAGAGAGGAAGGAAGGAAGGAAGGAAGGAAGGAAGGAAGGAAGGAAGGAAAGAAAGAAAGAAAGAAAGACATGCTACTCGTGCAAAAAAATGAAGTTGTATCCTTAACCTTACATGACATACAAAAAGTAACTCAAAATGGATCAAAAACTTAAAATATAAGAGCTAAAACCATAACACTCTTAGAAGAAAATATAGAGGGAAAACTTTATGACATTGATTTGGCAATGATTTCTTGAATACAACACCAAAAGCACAAAAGAAAAAAATACATAAATTAAACATTAAAATTAAAAACTTCTGTGCATTCAAAGGACATAATTAACAGACTAAAAAGGCAATCCACAGAGAAAATACTTGGAATTGTTATCTGGTAAGGGACTGATACCCAAAATAGATAAAGAACCCCACAACTCAACAACAAAGAAACAAACAACCCAGCCTGATTTTAAAAATCAGCAAATACCTTGAATAGATATTTTTCCAAGGAAGATATACAAATGGCCAGTAAGCGCATGAAAAGATGCTCAACATCACTAATCATTAGAAAACTGAAAATCAAAACCACAATGAGATACCACTTCACACCAGGATAGGACACCTATGATCAAAAAAAACCACACACAAACAAACAGAAAATAACAAACGTTGACAAGGATGTGGAGAAATGGAAACCTTGGTGCATTGTTGGTGGGATGTAAAATGGTACAGCAGCTGTTGAAAATGATATGATGATTCCTTGAAAAATGGCACACAGAATTACCATAAGATCCAGCAATTCCATTATAGGTATATATTCAACAGAATTGCAAGTAGGAACATAAACAGATATCTATACACCCATGTTCATAGCAGTGTTATTCACAATAGCCAAAAAGTGGAAGTAACCCAAGTGTCCACCAACAGATGAATGGATAAACACACTGTGGCAGATACATACCACAGTCTATTAAAATGGAATATGAACCTTGAAGACATTAGGCTTAGTGAAATAAGCCAGTCACTAAAGGATAAATACTGTGTAATTCTACCTAGATGAGGTACCCAGAGTAGTCAAACTCACAAAGACAGAAAGTAAAATGGTGGTTGCCAGGGATGGGGTTAAGGGGGAAGGGGAGTTGTTTAATGGGGACAGAGTTTCAGCTTGGGAAGATGAAAAAGAGTTCTGGAGATGGATAGTGGTGATGGTTGTACAACAATGTGAACGCACTTAATGCATTGAACTAAAGAAAATGCAGGCTGGGCGCGGTGGCTCATGCCTGTAGTCCCAGCATTTTGGGAAGCCGAGGTGGGTGGATCACTTGAGGTTAGGAGTTTGAGACCAGCCTGGCCACATGGTGAAACCTTGTCTCTAGTAAAAATACAAAAATTAGCTGGGCGTGGTGGCACATGCCTGTAATCCCAGCTACTCTGGAGGCTGAGGCAAGGAGAATTGCTGAACCTGGGAGGCAGAGGTTGCAGTAAGCCAAGATGGCACCACTGCAGTACAGCCTGGGCAGTAGAGCAAGACCCTGTCTCAAAAATAAAATAAAATAAAATAAAATAAAAGAAGAAAATGCATTAAGATGGTTAAAATGGTAAATTTCAATGTCATGTGTATTTTACCACAATAAAATATGTGGATATATATAAAATAGTGGAAGTGACCTACGGTCAGCCTCTCAACCTCTGCAAAGTTCGGCCCACAGAGGCTGCCCAGTTAGGCCCAGTTAGCATTCAGGATATGGCATTTCCCCTACTTCCTTTGTCTTGTCAAAACTTACCGCAGGTATAAACAAGACCGCAAGCTTGCACTGAGCCCAGTGTGTGCAGGTGGGAGAGAAAGATGAACAAAGACGAGAATTGTTCAGGGAGAGGACAGTGCACCTTGCTTTGACAATGGGTTAAAAGTGATGAGGGCTGCAGAATATGAGGGAATACAGTGGAGTGGGTGCTGTGGCAGTTCCCAGGAGGAGAGAGGACTTCTTGCCTGGCTCTCTTGGGTGGTGTCACAGAGGAAGTGGTGCTTAAGGTGGGTTTGAGAGAATGAGGATATGCAGATGTGTGGCTTGGTAGAGGGCACTTTAGCGGGCCCTGTGTTTAGCTGAAGTACTGTGTGACTGAGAGGCAGAGGTGGGAGAGAATGCTGGATCGGCGGGGAAGAGAATGTGACCAGTGAGAATGCAACTCGGTGCAGGAATATCTGCCACACAAGCCTGTTGTCTTGCAACCTTGAAAAGTGGTGTTTGGATCTGGAGTCAGATCCAGAAGGAACTTGAATGGCAGACTAACAACAATAACAACTTCTATTCATAGAGGACTACTATGTGCCTGTTATTTAATAACCTTAAGCAGCAGGTAGTGATATTAGCTCTATATTTCAGCTGAGAAAACTGAGGCTCAGGAGGTTAAGCAACATATCCAAGGTCAAACACAGCCAGTAAGTGATGGAAGTGGGGTAGGAATCCAGGCCTACATGGGTTTCAAATTTTTATTTATTTATTTTTGAGACAGGGTCTGGCTGTGCCAGGCTGGAGGACAGTGGCACAATCTTAGCTCACTGCAGACTTGACCTCCTGGGCTCAAGCAATTCTCCTGCCTCAGCACCCCAAGTAGCTGGTACCACAGGCACATGCCACCATGCCCAGCTAATTTTTTTTTCCTGTGGAGTTGGGGTCTCACTATGTTGCCCAGGCTAGTCCCAAACTCCTGGGCTCTAGTGTGGGCTGCTCAGTGACTTCCTTCCAAGAGGACACTATGAAAAGGAGGAAAATGAGTTAACTTTACCGTGGAGAAACCTGACAAACGCTACCTTAGCCACCTGGTAATAAGTCATGTTGATAGTACAGATGCTTGATGTGATGTGATAAAGATGGCACTTTACTTCTGTGGTCTTCCGCGTCAAAACCCACAACCCTAATCATGAGAAAAATATGAGATGAATTCCAGTAGAGGAGTATTTTACAATATATCTGACCAGTATTCCTCAAAACTCTCCAGGTTATCAAAACCAAGAAAATTCATAGAAAATGTCACAGTCAATGGGAGACTAAGGACACACAACAAACAAATGTAAAGTGGTTTCAAGCCCATTTTTGTTGGTATAAAAAAAAAGATATAAATGTAATTTGGTATTCTGGATGGGATCCTGGGACAGAAAACGAACATTAAATAAACACTAAGGGTATCTGAATAAACTATGTTTTTAGTTAATAATAATGTATCAATATCAGGTTGTAACAAATGTACCATATCAAATATCAATATCAGTTAATTGTAACAAATGTACCATAGCAATATAAGATGTTAATAACAGGATAGACCGGCTCTGTGGCTCATGTCTGTAATCCCAACACTTTGGGAAGTCGAGGCAGGCAGACTGCATGAGCCCGGGAGTTCAAGACCAGCCTGGGTAACACAGCAAGACCCCATATCTACCATAAATAAAAATATTAGTTGGACATAGTGGTGTGCGCCTGTAGTCCCAGCTACTTGGGAGGCTGACGTGGGAGGATGGCTTGAGCCCAGGAGGCAGAGGTTGCAGTGAGCCAAGATCGCACCATTGCACTTCACCTGGGTGACAGAGAGAGACCTTGTCTCAAAATTTAAAAAATAATAATAATAGGGGAAATTGGATGTGGAATATGTGGGAATTCTGTAGTATTGTCTCAATTTTTTTTTGTAAATCTAAATTGTACCAAAAATATATAAAGTCTTTCAAAAACAAATTCCTGAGTCACATCCTCAGAAACTGGCCCGCTAACATGCATTGACACAGGTGTAATGGACTTGTGAATGATGACAGCCTCTCTGTCCCTGACTGCTGATTGACCAAAGAGAAGGAGCGGACACAGCAATGCCTGCAGAGAAGAAGCTATAGCTCACACCAAGAAGACTGTATGGCTCTCCTCCCAGACTCCCTGAGGTTAAATATGGTGCCTCTCTCATTAGACTAGCAGCCTTCCTAGGGCAAGAGCTGGGTTTCCCCTGTGAGACCGGGCAGGAGCCACCTCTCCTCCAGGAGCTCAAGGTCTCTCTCAGCTCCAGGTGCCACTGATTCTCCGTATGTGTTTATTTTTCTTTTAGGTAAGTCCATTTCTCTATATGGGTAGAAAGAGAGGCCATGTACATAATGTACATTTTTTAAGGCTGGTAAAAGGTCTGCTTGCTTCAAAATACTGACTCCTAACTCTTTAGTTAAGCATAACCAATGTTAAAAAGCAGCAAACTCGATGACTTGGGTTTAGTGCCTAAATTTCCTCTGCTGACTTGCTGCTTTCCTTTGTACCCCAGGCCCCAGTCATAACTGAGTGATAACAGTAGTAAGAGTTTAAAATTGTGATGCTGCCGATTCTATATTTCAGCAGAGAAAACTAGGCTCAGGAGGTTAAGCAACTCATCCAAGGTCACACACAACCAGTAAGTGATGGAACTGGGGTAGGAATCCCAGTTTGTTTGATAATGGAACAAACCCCAGCACCCCAGCAAATTGCCTGTTGATTGCAAGAAGTTCTTACTCGTGGGTATGCAGTAAGCCACCCCAAAATACGAGGAGAGTAGATATCAGTGAACTGCACGCAACATCTGTGATTACTGATTTGCAGAAGTCCTTAAGGACAGGACAGGATGTGTCTCTGGACAAAGCTGGAAGAGCAAAGCCTGGAAATTAAATCAAGACTCAACAAAACAAAAAGCGAGCCAATTGCATTAACAAAAGCTGAAGGAATCATAGGTAGAGAGAAATGGTGATGCGTGAGGAGCTCCAAAAAGGCAGTACCAAAGAGCAAGTCTTTGAGAGTCATTGTCTTCCACATTGTCCAGAGTAGTGGAAACTCTGAAAACCTCCTTGAGTATTACAGGCAGCTCAGAGGTCTGGCCAGAGCTTCCAGGAATACTCTCTTCCTTTTTTTTTTTTTTTTTTTTAATTTAAGACAGAATCTGGCTTTGTTTCCCAGGCTGGAGTGCAGTGGTGTGATCAGAGCTCACTGCAGCTTCAATCTCCCAGGCTCAAGCAATCCTCCCACCCAGCCTCCCAAGTAACTGAGACTACAGGTGCTCGCCCACACATCCAGCTCATTTTTAAATTTTTTTGTAGAGATGGGGTGTCACTATATTGCCCTGGCTGATTTTGAACTCCTGGGCTCAAGCAATCCTTCTGCCTTTGTCTCCCAAAGTGCTGGGATTACAGGCATGAGCCACCGCACAGGGCCAGAATACTCTCTTGCTAAGAATCTTAGGGCTGGCCCAGGGAGCAGTAGGAAGGAAAAGATGCAGTGATTGATCAGACATTTCTACCACAAGCACAGGAAGGGGCAATTATACTAGCAGTGCTGCCACTCTAGACTCTTGTATCCCTCAGAGGGTACAAATATCTTAGGTTTTCCTGGTGATTAAAATCACTCATTTTGCTCACCTTGCTTTGATTCCACAAAAACCAACCTTCTAACTAGATTCTGACTTTCCCACAGGAGAAAGAGTGTGCTGACAAGTCAGCATGGAGGTTTCAGACTGCTTTGCAGTTGCTTCTCCCCTTGTGATTTCTTTCTCACTCCCTCTCTTTTTCTTTCTCTCTCTCTCTCTCTTTCTTTCTTTCTTGACAGAGTCTTGCTCTGTCGCCCAGGCTGGAGTGCAATGGTGCGATCTCAGCTCACTGCAACCTCCAACTCCTGTGTTCAGCTGATTCTCCTGCCTCAGCCTCCCAAGTAGCTGTGATTACAGGCATGTGCCACCTGGCTAATTTTTCTATTTTTAGTAGAGACGGGGTTTCACCATGTTGGCCAGGCTGGTCTCGAACTCCTGACCTCAGGTGATCCACCCACCTTGGCCTCCCAAAGTGCTGGGATTACAGGCATGAGCCACTGTGCCCAGCCTCCCTTGTGATTTAATACATTTGCAGCCTGGCTTCCTCACCAGGCTCTGGTGAATTTGGTTAGTCCGCCCCTTTCAGCCTGGTTAGCTCCAAGTGCACTAAAGAACCTTCATCTCTGGCCTGCAGAGAACCAGGTTCACCAGCCTCCAGCCCACTGTACTGCTGGCCCTAGGGGGCTTTTCCCTGATTGACAGCTGGCCCCCCTTTTTGATGTCACTCTCAAGCTGCCCTTTGCCATGTCAGTCACCCCAATCACACCCTCCCTACCCTGAGCCCCTGGAATGAGCTGTGGGAAACCTGCAAAAAAAAGTGCTACGACAACAAAATAACTTTATAGGTTCTGCTGAAGAAACAAGAATAAAGAAGAGGCCCTGTGCTGGAGGGGAAGAGGCCAAGAACATGCAACAGAAACTAGTAGAAGGAACTGGCAATGTTTAATCTAGAGCACAGAAGATCTGGGAAGGCCAACCAGTTCTCTGTCATCAAATATCTGAAGAACTGTGGTGATGAAAAGGGAATAGATTGATCTTCTGAGGCTCTAAAGAAAATATGCCAACCAGGCCATATATGGTGGCTCATGCCTGTAATTCCAGAACTTTGGGAGGCTGAGGCAGGAGGATCATTTGAGGCCAGGAGTTTGAGACCAGCCTGGGCAACACAGCCAGACCTGTTTCTACCAAAAAAAAAAAATTAGCTGGGCATGGTGGCTCATAGGTCTGTACCCCCAGCTACTCTGGAGGCTGAGGTGGGAGGATGGCCAGAGCCTAGGAGTTTAAGCTTCAGTGAGCTATGATCACAACACTGGACTCCAGCCTAGGCAACAGAGTGAGATCCTGTCTTTCTTAAAAAAAAAAAAAAAAAAGGCCAGGCATGGTGGCTTATGCCTGTAATCCCAGCATTTTGGGAGGCCGAGATGGGCGGGTCACGAGGTCAGGAGATTGAGACCAGCCTGGCTAACATGGTGAAACCCCATCTCTACTAAAAATACAAAAAATTAGCCGGGCGTGGTGGCGGGCGCCTGTAGTCCCAGCTACTGAGGAGGCTGAGGCAGGAGAATGGCGTGAACCCGAAGGCGGAGCTTGCAGTGAGCCAAGATTGCGCCACTGCACTCCAGCCTGGGCGACAGAGCGAGACTCTGTCTCAAAAAAATAAAAATAAAAATAAAAAAATAAAGAAAAAGAAAAAGTATGGCAACCAAAGGGCAGTAGATACAGGGAGACAGAAAAAATGGGGAACCTTTTAGGGCAGTTTTCCCCTAACTTCAGTTATTCAAATATCACCTTCACATTTTGTGTGTGTGTGTGTGTGTGTGTGTGTGTGTGTGTGTGTGTGTGAAATTTATGAGAAGCAGCATAATTCTGCAATTTAGAGCACAAATCTGGAGCAGGACCACCTGGGTTTATTTTCCAGCTCATCACTTCCTAGCTATATAACTTTGGGCACGTTATTTAACTTCTCTATGCCTGTTTGCTCAGTAGTAACATGGGGCAAAGAGTCCCTACCTCAAATAGTACTTAACCCATATTGGTGAGGATTAATTGAATGATTTGAATGACGCATGGAAAGTGCTTAGAAGAGCATCCAGCACTTAGTAAGTACCCAGTAAGTGGTGGGTATTTTATACATATATATTTTTCTAATAAAATTCTTTTATTTTTTATTTTATTTTTTTGAGACGGAGTTTCACTCTTGTTGCCCAGGCTAGAGTGCAATGGCGCGATCTTGGCTCACCACAACCTCTGCCTCCCGGGTCCAAGCGATTCTTCCCTTAGCCTCCCGAGTATCTGGGATTACAGGCATGTGCCTGGCTAATTTTGTATTTTTAGTAGAGATGGGGTTTCTCCATGTTGGTCAGGCTGGTTTCAATCTCCCAACCTCAGGTGATCAGCCCTCCTTGGCCTCCCAAAGTGCTGGGATTACAGGCGTGAGCCATCGCACCCGGCTCCATAAATTTTTATTTTTAAATAATTGGGGTCTTCCTGGAGTGCAGTGGCATGATCATAGCTCACTGTAACCTCGAACTCCTGGGCTTAAACCATCCTCCCACCTCAGCCTCCTGAGTAGCTGGATTACAGGCATGCATCACTACACCCAGGTAATTTTTAAAATGTTTTGTAGAGATGGGGTCTCACTATGTTGCCCAGGCTGGTGTCCAACTCCTGGCTTCAAGTGACCTCCCTGCGTGTACCTCCCAAAGTATTAGGATTACAGGCATGAGCCACTGCACCTGGCCTATTATATTTTATTCTATCCTCATACCATTGATACTCTTATTTAATATTTTTCTTTAAATGGACACACGATTTATATACATTTATTTTAAGGGAAACGTTATATTACTACCATACATGAAAAGCCATGTACAGGTGGAAACTGTAAAGATAAACATAACAGCAAACAATGTTATTAGATTGTTACAGTTTTAACAATGTTATTAAATGGTCACACTTACTGTTGCCTCTTAAATGCCCTGAACTGGAGGACTGCTGTCTTTCCAATGAAAGAGGAGACAATCAAGTGTTACAGTAGCATTCTAGTACTTTGCCCAGACTTCTGTTGGCTGCAGTCAGAAGCAAGAGTCCCAGTCCCACAAGTTGGAGGAAGTGAAAGGCCAGCGTGGGTGGAGCACCTGCTCTGGGGAGAGAGGGCAGCCCCAGGGGTGAGAGGCGGGCAGAGCAGGATCAAAGAGACAGCTCAAAAGGGAAAAATCCCTTTCCCATTCTGAGACTTTGTGCTCTTGGGTACCATGTCTCTCTCTGTGCCACACCAAAGCCATCTCACAAGACCCCTTGTGGTATGAGTTGCACATCTTAGAAAGCAAAGTCAGAAACACTTTGTTGGAGACACTATGGGTGCCCCACCCATACTCCTCAGCTCACCCGAGGTTACCTGCAGACATTTCCAGATGCCCTGGGCTACCTTTCACTTCTGCTTTAAGTTATTTTCTGGCTTCAGGGTGTGCACAGCAGACAGTTAGCAAGACAACCCTCAATAATGAGGTATGAGAGTCGAGGATATACCCCAGTCTCCCTGCCTTTTCGTGGGACACTTCTGAAATATTTTCTATAGTCTCGCTAAGGGTCCCTGAGGGATGGAGACCCAATTGCCCAGTGGTAACTCACTCATCAACACCTTTTTTATTGGCTTTTCTCCCTTTCTCGGTTAATTTCACTCTCACTGGGCTTCCTGGGATCATTTCCGAAATACATTTCTGGCACCTGAATCCTTTTCTCGTGATCTGCTTTGGGGGAAACTACAACTATGACACAGCTTTAAACTTCTGTCAGTGGAATGAGTTGCCCAGTGAGATGTGAAGTTCCATCTTACTGAGGACTCAAGAAATGGCTGACAATGTTCAATGGAGATTCACAGGTCAGGTAAAGACTCAAATCAGATGAACACTTAGTATTCCTTTTGTGTGTCTGTCTTTTTTGTTTGTTTTTTTGTTTTAAAGAGACAGCATCTTGGCCAGGCGAGGTGGCTCATGCCTGTAATCCTAGCACTTTGGGAGGCCAAGGCGGGTGAATCACCTGAGGTCAGGAGTTCGAGACCAGCCTGGCCAACATGGCGAAACCCCATCTCCACTAAATACACAAAAATTAGCCAGGCATGGCAGTGGGCACCTATAATTCCAGCTACTTGGGAAACTGAGGCAGGAGAATCGCTTGAACCCGGGGGGGCGGAGGTTGCAGTGAGCTGAGATCATGCCATTTCACTTCAGCCTGGGCAAAAGAGTGAAACTCCGTCTCAAAAAAAAAAAAAAAAAAAAAAAGAGACAACATCTTGCCCTGTCACCTAGGCTGGAGTGCGGTGGTGCAATCATGGCTCACTATAGTCTCAAACTCCTGGTCTGAAGTGATCCTCCCCCGTCAGCTTCCCAAGTAGCTGGGGCTGCAGGTGCATGCCACCATGCCCAGCTAATTTTCGTTTGTTTTTTGAGACAGGGTCCCCCTCAGTTGCCCAGGCTGGAGCGCAGTGGCATGATCATGGCTCATTGCAACCTCAAACTCCTCAGCTCAATTGATTCGCTTACCTCAGCCTCCTGAGTAGCTGGGACTACAGGTGCACCACCACACCTGGCTAATTTTTCATTTTTTTGTAGATATGGGGTCTTGCTATGTTGCCCAGGCTGGTCTGGAACTTCTAGACTCAAGTAATCCTCCCACCTCAGCCCCCCAAAGTTCTGGAATTACAGGTGTGAGCCACCAATCCAGGCCCCAGCTAATTTTTAAAATTTTTAAAATAGAAATGAGGTCTCACTATGTTGCCCAGGCTGACCTTGAACTCCTGGCCTCAAGCAATCCTCCTGCCTCAGCTTCACAAAGTGCTGGGGCTACAGGCATGAGCCACTGCACCCAACCTACCTAGTATCCTTCTGATCCTCAGGTCTCATTATTCGGGATCAGGAGTCAGCAAACTACAGCCCACAGGCCACATCCAGCCTACTGCCTGTTTTTGTATAGCCTGTGAGCTAAGAATGGTTTTTACATTATTTATTTGTTTGTTTGTTTGTAGAGATGGGGGTCTTGCTATGTTGCCCAGGCTGGTCTTGAACTCCTGGCCCCAAGCAATCCTCCCTCCTTGGTCTTCCAAAGTCCTGGGATCACAGATATGAGCCACCATGCCTGGCCAGCTTTTACATTTTTAAATGGTTGAAAAAAATGTTTAAAGAATAATATTTTGTGACACAGAAAAATTATGTGAAATTCAAAACTTCAGTGTCCATAAAGCTTTATTGGAACCCAGATATACTCATTTGTTTACATACCATCTACGGCTGCTTTTACTCTACAGTGGCAGTTTCTCATCAACATTACAAGAAACGACGTTACTTGGACTTACTGTACGTCATTTCGCTTAAAGTTGCAGTTTCTAAGAACCTAACGAGGACATTAATTGAGAATTTACTGCAGTTGCAACTGAAACCCTATGGTCCATAAAGCTCAAAATATTTACTCTCTGGACCTTTACAGAAAAAGTTTGCTGATGCCTGTTCACGGTCATTATCCTGCAGAGACAAGAGGCAGATTGAGGCCTGGCTGCCCCATGAGTGGGGAGGCCGATGCCCAGACCTAGTATTTGGGGGCAGTTTGAATCAGAACCTCACATTTCCTTTTGCCACATCTTTATGACCATGGTCATTACTCCCACCCTCTGCAAGTACCTAAGACTCTTTCACAGAGGAATTCATGTCTTTATACCAGTAATATTTTTTGACTAAATTTTTTTTCCATTTTTCTTGTTGTTAAAGATAGAGGTGGGGGTCTCACTATGTTGCCCAGGCTAGTCTTGAACTCTTGGCCTCAAGCATTCCTCCCACTTCTGCTTCCCAAAGTGCTGGGATTACAGGCATATGCCACTGTGCCCAGCCACCAGAAATATTTTTCTTTTTTAAAGGACATGAGAAATTTTCTTCTCCACACCCTGCCACTATCCCACGTGGTTTCATCGACGCTTGATCACTTTCACCACCACTTAGTTACTGATTTCTCCCCAGAACAAACCAAACCTCCAGCCCACGTCCTGAGATTTCTGATCAATACCCAAATGTTGGCCAGGTAAGGTAGATCATGCTTGTAATCTCAGTGCTTTGAGAGGCCAAGGCAGGAGAAACACTTGAGTCTAGGAGTTGGAGACCAGCCTAGGCAACACAGTAAGACCCTACTTAAAAAATTAGCTGGGCATGATGGTGTGCACCTGTAGCCCCAGCTACTTGGCTGGGTGGGAGGATCCCTCGAGCTCAGGAGGTTGAGGCTGCAGTAGCTATGATCATACCACTACAGGAGGCATGGGTGACAGAGCAAGACCCTGTGTCTTAAAAACAACAACAAAAGAAACCAAAAACCAACAAAACAAAACAAAACAAAAAACCCAAATGTCTGGTCAACATTAGATTAAGTTGGAGGGTGGGGGGTGTTGCTGCTTACCAGCAGTGCAACTTTGGGCAAGTCATTTAACAGCATGGAACGTCAATTTCATCATCTCTCAAAGGCGGAAATGATCCTGTCCAACCTGCCAGGATTACCGTGCTAATCGGATGAAATGAGAGCTGCCCACAAGACACTGAGCCGCCTGGCCCCAGCCTCTCTCCCTTTCACCACCACACTCCCTGCCCACTGGCTCTCCTTGAGTCCCCTGGCCTTGCCAAGCTCTTGGCTATCTCTGTACATGCTGACCTTTCTGCCAGAAACATCTTTTTCTAACCCCACCTTCTGCCTGGCAGATCAATGCATAACCTTTGTTTATGTGTGTTTCTGTTTAAAGATACCTTATAGGCCAGGTGCTGTGGCTTGAGCCTGTAATCCTAGCACTTTGGAGGCCAAAGTGGGTGATCACCTGAGGTCGGGAGCTCGAGACCAGCCTGGGCAACATGGTGAAACCTCGTCTCTACTAAAAATACAAAAATTAGCTGGGCGTGGTGGCATGTGCCTGTAGTACCAGCTACATGGGAGGCTGAGGCAGGAGAATCGCTTGAACTCCAGAGGTGGAGACTGCAGTGAGCTGACATCGTGCCACTGCACTCCAGCCTGGGAGACAGAGTGAGACTCCATCTCAAAAAAACAAAAACAAAGACAAAAGACACCTTATTTGATATATATTGTTGATATATATACATATTATTCATTAACACTGAACTCAGCCAACTGCACTATAACTCATGCCTGAACGAAGCTTACCTAACAGACAAGCTTTCTCTGTAAGGCACATCGCAGCCTTCTCATACTTAGGAACACTAGACAGCACGTCAACTGTACACTTGGGGCCATTTCAAACAGCGACATCACAAACAAAAACACACAAACATGCAAAAAATGTGGCACTAAGTACACCACAAAAGGGACACTTGTTTATAGCACAAGAGCTGAAACCAGAAAGCAGCGTGTCCTCCTGTTTGCCCTTGGCTGGAAATGTGCACGTTGGGTGACTCAACTTTTTCACTATTCTACGTGCATCCATATATGACTGTGAAAGTGTCATGGATATTGATTTGGAAGTTACGCAGACATTATTTTTCTTTTTTCTTTCTTTTTTTTTTTTGAGATGGAGTTTCGCTGTTGTTGCCCAGGCTGGAGTACAATGGCGTGATCTTGGCTCACTGCAACTTCCACCTCCCAGGTTCAAGCAATTCTCCTGCCTCAGCCTCCCAAGCAGCTGGGATTACGGGCTCTTGCCACCACGCCCAGCTAATTTTTTGAATTTTTAGTAGAGACGGGGTTTTGCCATGTTGGCCAGGCTGGTCTCGAACTCTTGACCTCAGGTATCCACCCACCTCGGCCTCCCAAAGTGCTGGGATTACAGGCATGAGCCACTGCACCCGGCCTTTTTTCCTCTTTTTTTTTTTAAATGAGCCAAGGTCTCTCTATGCTGTCCAGGCTGGTCTCAAACTCCTTAGCTCAAGTGATTAGGCTGGTGTCAAACTCCTAAATTCAAACTCCTAACCTCACACCTCAGTCTCCCAAAGTGCTGGGATTACAGGTGTGAGCCACCACACCCGGCCACAAACATATTTTTTTAAAAATTCTTTAATTATATAATTTTTAAAATAAAGATATAGGGTCTTACTGTGTTACCCAGGCTGATCTGGAACTCCTAGCCTCAAGTAATCTTTCTGCCTCAGCTTCCCAAAGTACTGGGATTATATGCATGAGCCACCATGCCTGGCCACAAACAAATTTTTTTTAAGAATTATTCAATGTGTATAATTTTTAAGCAAACAGGGCCTTGCTCTGTTGCACAGGCTGATCTGAAACTCCTAGCCTCAAGCGATCCTCCTGCCTCAGCCTCTCAAAGTGCTGGGATTACAGGGAAGAATTTGCAAATTTAGAACTTGTGAATAATGAGAATCTACTGCACTTTCTTCCTGTTTCTCTCATTCGGGGCTGGCTGAATTCTGTCTTACTCATATTTTATCTCTAGCATCTGGAAAACTGCCTGGCCCACAGTAGGCTCTCAATAATAAATGTATTTCCAATGAGCGAATGAGTCAATTCAGTGGAAGTGCTCAGCTCACAGCAGTGATAGCTAGTGTTTGTGAAGACACACCACGCGCCTGCCCCGTGCACGCTGTCCTGGTCAACAAGGGAAACAGCAGAGTATTGTTCTTTTGCACCTGAGCTCAAGAGCAGACTGCCTGGGTTCAAATATGGGACATGCTTCTTATTAATTAATTATATAACTTCGAGCAAGATCATTGGCCTCTCTGAGCCTCAGTTTCCTTGGCTATCAAATGCAGTATTCATAGTTCTACCGTGGAAGTTATGGTCAGGAGTCTAACTTGGCCCTGCACAGAAAGCCTCTAGCATAGGGTGAACCCTTAGTAAACAGTAGCTTTTATTGTGAATAATTCCCAAGGCAACCCGATTTTCACACCCATTTTGCAGATACAAAAACTGAAGCTGAGGATGGTTCAGTGAGTTTCCAAGGTCACAAAGGAAGGGCTGCCTATGGGGGGGAATCTATGCCCATGTTAGTAACACTGCTGTTATATAAACATAAGGGGTCAGCGGGGCGCAGCGGCTCATGCCTATAATCCCAGCACTTTGGGAGGCCGAGGCTGGAGAATGGCTTGAGCCTAGGAGTTTGAGACCATCCTGGGGAATATAGTGAGGCCCTATCTCTATAAAACAAACAAACATAAGGGCTCATTTTTACTAGTTGTAAAAGGGCCCTTTTACTAGTTGTAAAAAAGGCTCGTTATAAGGCCTCTCACTGCCTAATCAGCTAGGTTTGCCAAAATGAGGAAGACAGCTCCAGCCAGTCTCCTGATCTTCTCTGGGATCAGGGTGGGGAGGAACCCCCTTCCTACCCATAAACCCCTAAGAGTCTTCGCTCACATTCCACACTGGTGTCTTTCTGTTCCTTGTCCACTTTCGAGTTCAACCCTTTCAGAACCAGCCCTACTGTGGGGGGTGGGGGATGGTTAGTTTGTTATCTTGGGTTTGACAGTACAAAGGCAGAGGCATTTCCTGCTTAAAAGGCACATGAGAAAGGAGGAGGAGGGCGAACTGGAGGAATAGGAGGAGGAGGGAATCATCAGCATTCTGGGTTAGAACAAACAAATGTCCTCCGTTTTTCTCCAACTCCTTAGATCAAGGGTCCTCAAATTTGGCTGCCAGCTGGAATCTCTTGCAAACATTTTAATACCCAGATGTCCAGTCCCCCACCCAGACCAATCACATCTGAGTCTCTGGGGGGGGGCGGGGGTGGAACTAGGGCATCGGTATTTTTTTAATGCTTCCCAAGCAACGCCAACGGGCAGACAAGTTTAAGAAGTGGTGCTCTGGACCTTATCAGCACTCGGCTGCCACCCTGGAGTGGCTCTGGGCGACAGTGGCTGCTTTCCGCTTCGAGGACGCCCGGCTTGGGGATTCGGGCATGCTCTGGGAGGCGAGGGCTGGGGAGGATGCGAGCGTGCCAGCGACCTGGTGCTCTGCCTTGCTCTAGGCCCAGCTCCGAGGCTGCGGGTCTCTGGGTCCCCCCCACGGCTACAACACGTGCTGCCGCCCCGACTCCTCCGGTTATCTCTGCAGACCGCAAGCGGTGCCCAGCGGCCGCCCCGCTGTCCACCCCGACCTCAGAGGCTCCAGGGAGACGCCCGGGGCTCAGGAATCCTACCTTGGCTGCCGGCGCTGCCCTCCAGTCCCCGGAATCCTGGGACTCAGGTTCGAGCTGTCGCTGTCGCTGTCGCTGCGCCTGTGAAGCGCCCACTAGAGCGCAGGCGCCACCTAGTGGGCGCGGGGCGGCTGCGCAGGGACCGCGCTGGCAGGCGGGAGCGCAGTCCAGGGCGGAAATGCAGCCAGGGCTTCTTCCCACGTGGGCGGTTTTCCAGCGCGCCGCCAGCCCTGTGGCCAGATCCGGCCTGGGGCGGGACCACCTTCACCCGCTGCGGGGCACTGGGATCTAAACTTGGTGAACTTTCTCTTGGGGCACGGAGGGACCCCTCGGCCTGGTATCCATCCTCCGGTTTTCCGGGCTGAGCACAAGGATCTTTCCCTTCATCCAGCAGCTTTCAGTGCACCCCACCTTTGGCACTGCTTCTCTTTTAAATGTGCTGGGACCATCCGAGGCTGGGGTTCTCTCCAACCCAGGGAGGCCCTTCGCCTATCAGCAACCATTTTTTCCTGCCACCCCCTAAACCGTCCCTGAATGAGAGAAACAGCCTGCTCTGCTGGCTTGCTCTACAGAGGCCAGGACTGGTGGAGGATGGGTGTGTGCCAGCGACCTCGTGCTCTGCTCTGCTGGAAGGCCTTCTCTGAGCAGTGGAAGGGGAAGGGGCGGCTTAAGGGAATTGTGTTTTTTGTTTTTTGTTTTGTTTTGTTTTGTTTTTGTAGAGACAAGGTCTCTCTATGTTGCCCTGGTGGCTCTTGAACTCCTGGTCTCAAGCGATCCTCTCACCTGCAGCCTCCCAAAGCACTGGGATTACCGGAGTAAACTATGGCTCCCAGCTGCCTGGTATTCTTTCAATGAAGACATGCCAAAACGCTTACAAATATGGTGGACATTTAATGGTTTATATTTCATTTATGTCTTCATTTAACAACGATTAACTGAGCACCTACTATGTGCCACTTTTCTACAATCAAGGGATACAATGAAGAACAAAACACAAAAATCTCTGCTTTTGTTGAATTCACATTTAATGTAACACATGAATACTTTTAACACACCCAACGATCTAATGCAAAGCGATTGAGCTCGTTGTGAGATAAGTAGAGGATTTATTAAAAATATCTATATTTAGGGCCAGGCACCGTAGCTCACGCCTGTAATCCCAGCACTTTGGAAGGCTGAGGCAAGAGGATCGCTTGAGGTCAGGAGTTTGAGACCAGCCTAGCCAACATGGCAAAACCCAGTCTCTACAAAAAATACAAAAATTAGCCGGGCGTGGTGGCAGGAGCCTGTAATCCCAACTACTCCAAGGCTGAGGTGGGAGAATCCCTTGAACCCGGAAGGAGGAGGTTGCAGTGAGCTGAGATCGCACCACTGCACTCCAGCCTGGGTGACAGAGTGAGACTCTGCCTCAAAATCAATCAATCAATCAATCAATCAATCTATGTTTAGGGCGCCAAGGGCAGACATTCCTGGTGATGGATATAAGCATTACAGAGTTCTATGGGAACGTCTTCACGTTTTCTTGTAATCCTGGCAGTTTATCTCTGTGGCAACATTTGGAGATAATGCCTTCAGTGGAAATTTCAGGTGATTTGTGAAAGTTAGGCCTGCAATCCTCCTTTCCCCCTCCCCCCGGCCCCCACTCTGCTCCCCCAGGACGCTCTGTCATTGTTCTAGCCCAGTGTGAGTTTGTGTGTGAGTGTGTGCCTATTTAACCTTTGGACTCTCTGTACTGGTGTAATCTGGTCAAAGTGAATATCAAGGGCAGAGGAGGACAAGGAGGAGCAGGAGGAGAAGGAGGATGAGGAGCAGGAGGAGGAGCAGGAGGAGGAGGAGCAGGAGAAAGGAGGAGAAGCAGGAGCAGGAGGAAGAGGAGCAGGAGAAGAAGGAGCAGAAGGAGGAGGAGCAGGAGGAGGAGAAGGAGGAGGAGCAGGTGGAGGAGGAGGAGCAGGAGGAGGAGAAGCAGGAGGAGCAGAAGGAGAGGAGGAGCAGGAAGAGGAGGAGAAAGAGCAGGAGGAAGAAGAGGAGGAGAAGCAGGAGGAGGAGGAGGAAGAGCAGGAGGAGGAGGAAGAGCAGGAGGAGGAGCAGGAGGAGGAGGAGAAGGAGCAGGAGGAAGAGGAGGAGAAGCAGGAGCAGGGGGAGGAGGAGGAGGCAGAGCAGGAGGAGGAGCAGGAGGAGGAGGAGGAGGTGTCATCTGTGGACAATACCTGGAAGGGCAAGGGGTGGTGGGTGTCACTAAAAGGAACCAGCCCCAGCTACTTCACTGCAGGCTGGTGCCCTGGTGAAGGTGAATCAGTCAGAGGAGTGCTGACTGCCCATGGTAAGTACCAGCTGCCAGACAATTTCCCATTCTTTCACTTTAAAGTGTCTGAGTCATGTCCAGACCATTCTTGCCCCATCTTTGCAACAGCTCCCTCCCCACCACTGTGCCCCAAAGCATGCCTGGGCAAAGTCCTAGATTACAACCTCTGGATTCTGGCATCACCTGATGAGATTAAGTCTTCCTAGTGACTTTCTCTTCTGAGTTCTCCTGGCATTTTTCTCATTCTGCTAATCACAGTGTTTCTGGAAACTGCAGAGTTATCAACAGATCTGTTTTCTCCATGGAAAACAGGAGTTTTGGTAGGCTGAAGTATGTAAATAACAATAATAAAATATTTATAACGTGTTAGACACTAACAGTTTTCTTTAAGAGATGGGGTCTTGTTCTGTCATCCAGGTGATCATTGTTCATTGCAGCCACAAATTCGAGCTCAAGGGATCTTCCCACCTCAGACTCCCAAGTAGCTGGGACTGCAGGCATGTGCCACCATGCCTGGCTAATTTTTAAATTTTAATTTCTTTTTTTTTTAAGAGATGGGGTTTATTGTTTTTTTTTTTTTTTATGTTGCTCAGGCTGGTCTAGAACTCCTAGCATCAAGCATTTCTCCCACCCCAACCTCCTAAGTAGCTGGGATTATAGACACAAGCTGCCATACCTGGCTCATGCACTAAGGATTTTAGATTGACAATTTAGTTTAATCTTCACAGTAATCCTACAAAGTAGGCACTGTTACTCTCCCCACTTTCTCAGCGAAGAAACTGAGACTTGCGATGTTTAAGTAACTTGCCCTAGGTAGAGGAGTTAGCAAGTAATGTACCCAGAACGTGAATCTGGATTATCTTATTCCAAGGCACATGCCCTGAACACCTCACTACTGTTTACTAAGCACCTACTATGTGCTGGACGCTGTGCTTTATATATGGAACAGGATAGGCAAGGTACTCATTATATATATATATATATATATATATATATATATATATATATATTTATACTTTTAAGTTGTAGGGTACAGGTGCACAATGTGCAGGTTTGTTACATATGTATACATGTGCCATGTTGGTGTGCTGCACCCATTAACTTGTCATTTACATTAGATATATCTCCTAATGCTATCCCTCCCCCCTCCCCCTACCCCACAACAGGCCCCGGTGTGCGATGTTCCCCTTCCTGTGTCCAAGTGTTCTCATTGTTCAATTCCCACCTATGAGTGAGAACATGCGGTGTTTGGTTTTTTGTCCTTGCGATCATTTGCTGAGAATGATGGTTTCCAGCTTCATCCATGTCCCTACAAAGGACATGAACTCATCATTTTTTATGGCTGCATAGTACTCCATGATGTATATGTGCCACATTTTCTTAATCCAGACTATCATTGTTGGACATTTACTCATTTTTATCCCTTTTGCTTTCTTGTTCTGTTCACCCTTTTCTTCAAAGGGAAAATTTTGTTTACTTTTGTTTTTTAAAATAAATTCATAAAATTATGTTATGAGATGTGACCTAATTTTTAGTAAGAAAGGGAATATTTATCTTCTAGAGTGAGTCTCCATTAAAGAGGGTGAGGATCAGGCCAGAGGCAGTGGCTCACACCTATAATCCCAGTACTTTGGGAGGCCGAGGCAGGCGGATCACGAGGTCAGGAGATCAAGACCATCCTGGCTAACACGGTGAAACCCTGTCTCTACTAAAAATACAAAAAATTAGCTGGGCATGGTGGTGGGCGCCTGTAGTCCCAGCTACTCAGGAGGCTGAGGCAGGAGAATGGCGTGAACCCGAGAGGCGGAGCTTGCAGTAAGCCAAGATCGCACGACTGCACTCCAGCCTGGGAGACAGAGCGAGACTCCGTCTCAAAAAAAAAAGAGGGTGAGGATCCTCTGTGGTCTAAAGTGGATGGAGCTAGAAATGGTGGCACTGGAGTCATGGGCAAGATGGTGTCAGGTCCCCAGCAGAAGGCGTAGAGAAGGAAAGAGGGAGAAATGCCAAAGAGACCAAAGGGAAAGGGCCTGGGTACCCGTCCCAGAAGGACACTTGGTCTTGTAAGGCTGGCTTGTGGACTGACTGGCAACTTAACTCTTGAGGTCACAGTGTGTCTATGATTGGTAGGAATAAGACTGGTCACATTCTGGTCCTGGATTGTACCTGCAAACCCTGTCAGGTGTTATGAAGTGTAATAGCAGATGAACTGATTCTGTCTCATTGACTCTTTCCAAAAATCCCAGGAAGCAATTATTTTATTTTATTTTTTTTGAGACGGGGTCTCATTCTGTCACTCAGGTTGGAGTGCAGTGGTGTGATCTTGGTTCACTGCAACCTCCACCTCCCAGGCTCAAGTGATTCTGCCACCTCAGCCTCCCAAGTAGCTGGGACCACAGGTGTGTGCCATCATGTCTGGCTAATTTTTTATATTTTTGGTAGAGACAGAATCTCACCATGTTGCTCAGGCTGGTCTCAAACTCCTGAGCTCAAGCCATCCACCTACCTTGGCTTCCCAAAGTGCTGGGATTCCTGGTGTGAGCCACCATGCACAGCCCAGGAAGCAGTTATTATTATTATTTTGAGATAATACTACTCCTACCCAGGCTGGAGTAGGGTGGAGCAATCTCAGCTCACTGCAACCTCTGCCTCCCAGTTCAAGCGATTCTCCTGCCTCAGCCTACCAAGTAGCTGGGACTACAGGCACCTACCACCACGACTGGCTAATTTTTGTATTTTTAGTAGAGACAGGGTTTCACCATGTTGTCCAGGCTGGTCTCGAACTCCTGACGTCAAGTGATCCGCCCACCTCGGCCTCCGAAAGTGCTGGGATTACAGACGTGAGCCACCGTGCCCGGTCGCAGGAAGCAGTTATTATTAATTACATCTTACAGATTAGGAAACTGAGTCAAAAATGTTAAGCAACTTGCTGAAGGGCATACAGCATGTACACTCTAGAGGTGGTATTCAAACCCAGGCTCCTCTCATGCTGAAACTGCTTTTAACCATGACCACTACCTGCCTTCCCATCAATGACTGGTGAATTAAATTGTACTCTTGGGAAGGGATTTTATATTTGCTCATTTTGGCAACTGTGTCCTTCCCTCTTTTACTAGCTGATATTCTGCGCATCCTTCTAGGTCCAGCTCAAATGTGGCCTGCTCTAGGAAGCCCTCCCCTGTCCCCTATTTCCAGTGTGACATCTTCCATATTAAAGGACTTATTGATGCTGCTAAATAGTATAATTTGCTGCAAGAATGTGGCCTCCTCCAGCAGATTCTATGCCCCTGAATCAGGAGTAAGATCCTCCAGGTGCGGTGGCTCATGTCTGTAATCCCAACACTTTGGGAGACCGAGGCAGGAGGATCACTTGATGCCAGGAGTTCGAGACCAGCCTAGGCAACATAGTGAGACCCCTGTTTACACACACACACACACACACACACACACACACACACAACAGCTGGGGGTGGTGGCACACGCCTGTAGTTCTAGCCACTGAGGAGGCTGAGGCAGGAGGATGGCTTGAGCCCAGAAGGTTGAGGCTGCAGTGAGCCATGCATGATCGCTCCACTGCACTCCATCCAGGCAACAGAGTGAGACCTGATTTCAAAAAACAAACTGGCCGGGCCCAGTGGCTCATGCCTGTAATCCCAGCACTTTGGGAGGCTGAGGCAGGAAGATCTCTTGAGCCCAGGAGTTCGAGAGCAGCCTGGGTAACATAGTGCGACCCCATCTCTATTAAAAAATAATATAAACAAATAAATAAAAAACCAAGAGTCCGATCCATGTGGGTGGTGCTACATGTCTTCTGTATCCACTCTCCATCCTGCTCTGTGTGTTTGGAGCCTGACTTAAATGGGCAACACCAAAGGCTTATATACCTACTAGTTTCAAGCTGGGTTTGGCCAGTTGTATACCTGGGAGAGACCAGAGGCAGGGAGGAGAGTGAGGTTGGGTGCTTATGTCCCCAGCTTCCCTTCTGCAGGGTGCCTTGGGTTGGCCACTCTCCTGACCTATAGTCATAGCTGTTAGGTGACCCTGTGCACACAAGCCCTCTTGGCCTGTAGGCTCAGGCCTCCTTAATTGCGATTAAAGTTCTGTAAACTGCACAGCACCCAAAATGGAACTTTGTACCTTGTGGTTCAATAAAGAGCTGTTGAGCTAAATGAGTGGCAAGCGCTTTTTGTTTGTTTGTTTGAATGAGTAAGTGAGTGAGAAGCAGGAGAGAGAGAATTTTAAATGATCTCGAGTACTAGGACTAGATGGCAAATAAGCCCCCCTAGGGTCCTGGCAAGTGGTTTTTATTTATTTTTGTTGTTTGATCTTTAAAAATTTTTATTTTATTTTCTTTCCTTTTTTGTTTTGGAGACAGGGTCTCACTCTTTAGCCCAGGCTGGAGTGCAGTGGCACAATCTTGGCACACTGCAATCTCTAACTCTTCCACCTCCCAGATTCCAGTGACCTCCCACTGCAGCCACTGTAGTAGCTGGGACTGCAGGCACATGCCACCACACCCAGCTAATTTTTGTCTGTTTTTTGTAGAGATGGGGTTTCACCATTTTGACCAGGCTGGTCTCGAACCCCTGGGTTCAAGTGACTTGCCTGCCTCAGCCTCCCACAGTGCTGGGATTACAGGCATGAGCCACTGCACCCAGACCAAATTTTCTTAATAAACAGTAAATTTGATTTTTTTTCTTTCCTTCCTTCCTTCCTTCCTTTCCTCCCTCCCTCCCTCCCTTCCCTTTCCTTCCCTTCCCTCCCTCCCTTCCTTCCCTTCTTTTTTTTTGACAGTGTCTCTGTCACCCAGGCTGGAGTGCCATGGCACAATCATAGCTCACTACAGCCTGGACTCCCCTAGGCTCAAGTGATCCTCCCACTTCTGCCTCCCGAGTAGGCAGGACTACAGGTGCACACCACCACACCTGGCTAATTTGTGTATTTTTAGTAGAGATGGGGTTTCACCCTGTTGACCAGACTGGTCTTGAACTCCTGACCTCAAGTGATCCACCCACCTCGGCCTCCCAAACTGCTGAGATTACAAGTGTGAGCCACCACACCCGGCCCTACCTCCAAATTTATATGTTGAAACCCTGAACTCCAATGTGACTATATTTGGAGATAGAGACTTTATGGAGGCAATTAAGGTTAAATGACGTCGTAAGGATGGGGCTGAAATCTGATAGAACTGGTATCCTTATAAGAAGAGGAAGGGATATCAGAGCTTTCTCTTTCCAAAAGCACTGAGAAAAGGCCATGTGAGGACACAGTGAGAAGGGGGCCATCTACAAGCCAGGAAGGGAGCCCACACCAGAACCTGAACTTTGCAGGCACCTTGCTCATGAACTTCTAGCCTCCAGAGCTGTGAGGAAATAGATGTCTTGTGTAAGCCACCCAGTCTGTTGTATTTTCTTATGGCATCCAGGGCTCACT